>NC_000011.10:38393333-38544848 GCF_000001405.40 Homo sapiens
ATACGTATTTTCAAAACCTTATTTGAGTCCTTTCCTTCCCTTATTTGATTTAACCAACAGAATATTTCATAAGTTAGATCTGGGGACAGCATTTTAAATACATGCCAACCAAACAGAATACCAATTACAATTTTAAACAGTTGAATTAAGGAGAACTAAATGCAACATAAATAATTCAATGTTCATTTTTAGAACATTTTCTATAACAATGAACAGGAAAAACACTTAAAAATGCAAGGAATATAATGGATTGTAGAAAAATCAATGTTATAGTTTGTTAATGGATTTGGTAACTTGCACTTCCAGGGAACAGAGAAAATTGAAGTGGAACTAAGATTTCATTATGACATATTTCAAACTCTCTTAGGCTCTTAAGATTTTCCATTTCATTGGCTGCTTTGAATTTCATATGCTAATTTTAGAACTGTTACAAATCAGAATTTAATATTTGAAAAGTGTATTACAATTAGTAATAATCCAGTGTGTTAATTCAGTGTTATTGTACTAGATTTTTAAAAAATGAGTAAAATGTATGGACAATTCATCACAATAACTAATAGGATATGCCAAAGTAGGTGTCTCTACCTACTCAACTTAAATGTTTATTAACTCAATTTATTCTGTCAAATTTAATAATACAATATGAAAATAACTATCAAGGTATTTAGCAACAATTAGATAATTGACACACTTCAAAGAAATGGAAGTCGTGAATGATTTGTCTTACTTTTCAAATAGCTGTATTAGTGCTGAATACACTTTGAAAAAGTTATTTTTTTTTAAACATGGGCATCTTACCTGTGAAAAGTTAAGATTTTGGGGGGAGGTTGTTGCTTTTTAAACAGTTTTAGTAAGATATAGTTTACATATCATACAATTCACTCATTTAAAATGTACACCCCCGTGTATTTTAGCATGTTAACAGAGTTGTGTAACAATAACCACAAATGTAGAACATTTTCATCACCACCCTAAAAAGAAACTCCATAACGATTCATAGTCATGATTGATTTCTCTTCCTGTCCCCATCTATGCTCTCCTTTCTACCCCCAGGCCCTGGCAACGACTTTCCTACTTTCTATCTCTATAAAATTTTGCCCCATCTGGATATTTAAAAATATTCCATTTAAAATATTCCTTTTTCCTAATTGTAATTATAAATCCTTTAACCAATATCCCCTACTCCTTCACTCCCCACTAACCAGCTCAGCCTCTGTTAACCATTATTCTGTTCACTACTTCTATGAGATCAACTTTTTTAGAAAGCACATATATGTGAGATCACATGGTGTTTGTCTTCCTACATCAGGCTTATTTCATTTAATATAGTGTCTGTTAGAGTCTTCCATGTTGTTACAAATGACAGGATTCTGTTCTTTCTTAGGGATGAATAGTATCCCATTGTGTATATTTTACATATTTTCTTTATTCATTCATTTACTGATGGGCATTTAGGTGGATTCCATTGTTGTTAATGTTTTTCAGGAAGTGGAAGTCTTCCTGAAAAATTAAATACAAGTGTGACCTTAAACATGTTGCTTTCTCTCTATTAGCCATAGCTCCTTCGTATTCAAATAAAATGGTTTGACCAAACCAGCATTCCCCAATGTGATTTGTGCATATTAGTCATGGAGAATACTCTGATACAAAAATAATTTCCAGCCCAAATTTGTTTTTAAAGGTCTTTGTATTAATTTCCCTTTTGAAGTGTCACAAAGAACTTTTAAAATTTTATGCATCCTGGCCAGGCACGGTGGCTCATGCCTGTAATCCCAGCACTTTGGGAGGCCGAGGCGGGCAGATCACGAGGTCAGGAAATCGAGACCATCCTGGCTAACACGGTGAAACCCTGTCTCTACTAAAAGTATAAACAATTAGCTGGGCGTGGTGGCAGGCGCCTGTAGTCCCAGCTACTCCGGAGGCTGAGGCAGGAGAATGGAGTGAACCCGGGAGGCGGAGCTTGCAGTGAGCCGCGATAGCGCCACTGCACTCCAGCCTGGGCAACAGTGCAAGATGCTGTCTCAAAAAAAAAAAAAAAAAAATGTATGTGTCTTGTATTTCATTCAATAAATATTGCATGTTATTTGTTAGGTAGTACAGGTTACATATTTTTATAATAGCTCTGAGAAATACTAAAGCATAGAATAAAATATGATGAAATTAATTTTAAACCATACTTCATTTGGCATTCTTTGAAAGTAATGATCACGGAAATATTTTTAGTCATGGAAAAATCCTCCTTTCATCCCTCTATCCCTCCATGGAACATATAGTAGAAAATACTAGGTAATCTTTAAACTCCATCCAAGTTCAAAATAGTACGTTTGGCAATCTCAAAAGCCACTTCTATATTGTATTTGTAACATATGATATGAAGATCGAATATATATAGCTGTTTTCTTTTACCTTTTCCTTCAGAAAAAGGGGGCCATACAAATCACAGAGTTTCAAATATTTGTAATATAAGTAACAGATTTAGGGTTCCCTGATAACTTATTACATTCTAACTTACCTAACTGTCTTTGCCTTGTCATCAAATTCTATAACACCAGTCATAGACTCATATCACTGTTTATAAGGATATAGAGTCATAGAGTACATATGTGGTTTGAGTTCTTAAGTTTTCACTTCTTCTGCATGGTTTATGATTTATCCTATTTGTTGCTTTTTTATTCATTATCGATATTCTAATTTTTCTTTTATACCCTGTTCATCATAAGATCTTAAATGAATTTAAGCCACAATAGCAGTTTTCTGAGCCCCAGTAGACTCACCCATCATTTTGATAGTAAAAACAGGTAATATATGTCATCACTATGCTAAAAAGTTTATTAACCCATTTAACCTTCATAACAATTCCAAGAGTCAGATTTTCTACTGAAATTACCCTCTTACTTAGGAGAATTGTTATAAAAAATTTTAAGGAAAAATGTGCATAATCTGTATGAAATTCTTTCCACACAGTAGGTATCTAAATGGTAATTATAATGATGATGATGATTTGGATTTTGAATCACTTACTATAAACCACTGTTACCTGGACTGTGTTGATTGTACAAAGGCAATTAGCTTCAAATAATCAAATAGATCTTGTTCAGACCTATTGCAAGGGCACCTTGGCAGGTGACTTTATTGCTTTAGTTCTGAAGTAAACAGAGTATAACTGCTTATTTTCACTGCTACTTTCAGAGTACTTAAAGGGATTTATATTTTAAAAAAGTGATTGACTTCAGGACCAATATTTAGTTAGCATTAATTACTCAGTAACATCTTATTTGATACAATATGTAGATCCCTAGGCATTTTTACAAATCTCTGTTTTTGTCAAAAAGTTGTAGATTCAGAATCTGGTTGGAGAAAAAACTCATTGACCCTAGGGGATAAATTGAGCACATTATACTATTAAAACATTTATTGACTTAGTCTTCCATGTATATGTCTCTTCGGCCAGAGCCAGTTTCCTAAAACTGAATAAGCTATATCTAGTATTGACTACTGGATCAGTTTCAAAAAGGAAAAAAGAAAAAAAAAATTTGAATGCGACATGAAAAAATGGTAAACTAAATATTCAATTTAAAAAGATTATGAAGGATGATTCTAATAAAGGTAACAAAAGGATGACCACACTCTCCTTGGAGATTACTTTGAATGCACTGCATTATTTTCTCCTGAGCCCTATAACATACACAATGGCACATGTCCTTTAATTTTATTAACATGGTTTAAAGGGCATTATGATATATGCTGCACAGTTCGCCAAAAAAATCTAAAGAGATCCTGAGGACTTGAACACATTTTTTTTCTATGCTAACCTCTTATCAGTGACTTTTTTCAGGGATTTTCCCAGGCAATTAGTTATATGGGTTTTTGCAGGTTACATAGTATTTACCATGTGAAAATATCGGAAAATAGGACAACTACAAGCCTATAGAATGAAGCTGGATTAACATAAATTACAAACTCTTACTACAAATGTGAAACTGGACTTTGAGAATTCCTGAGACTATTCCCCCATAATATTTAACATTCTGGTGAGAGCCCCTTCATTTTCTTTTCCTTTTTTAAAAATGTTAAGTTCAGGGCACATGTACAGGATGTGCAGGTTTGTTATATAGGTGATATGGCTTGGCTGTGTCCCCACCAAAATCTTATCTTGAATTGTAGCTCCCTTAATTCCCATGTGTTGTGGGAGTGACCTAGTGGGAAGTAATTGAACCATGGGGGCAGGTCTTTCCCATGCTGATCTTGGGATAGTGAATAAACCTCACGAGATCTGATGGTTTCATAAAGGAGACTTCCGTGACACAAATTCTTGCCTGCTGCCATGTAAGACATGACTTTGCTCTTCATTCTGCTTCTACCATGATTGTGAGGCCTCCCCAGCTGTGTGGAATTGTGAGTCAATTAAACCTCTTTCTTTTATGAATTACGCACTCTCAGATATGTCTTTATTAGCAGTGTGAATGCAGACTGATACAGTAAATTGGTACCAGGTAGTGGGGTGCTGCTGTAAAGATACATGAAAATGTGGAAGTGACTTGGGAATGGGGTAACAGGCAGAGGTTGAAGCAGTTTGGAAGACCTAGAAGAAGATAGGAAAATGTGGGAAAGTTTGGACTTCCTATAGACTTGGAGGGCTCTGAAGACAGGAAGATGTGAGAAAGTTTGGCTCTTCCTAGAGACGTGTTGAATGGCTTTGACTAAAATGCTCATAGTGATATGGACAATAAAGTCCAGGCTGCAGTGGCCTTAGATGGAGATGAAGAACTTGTTGGGAACTGAAGCGAAGGTGACTCTTGCTATGTTTTAGCAAAGAGGCTGATGGCATTTTGCCCTGTCCTAGAGTTTTGTGGAACTTTGAACTTTAAAGATATGATTTAGGGCATCTGGTAGAATAAATTTCTAAGTAGCAAAGCATTCAAGAGATGACCTGGTTACTGTTAAAAACATTCAGTTTTATGTTTCACAAATATATTGTTTGTAATTGTAACTTACACTTAAAAGGGAAGCAGAGCATAAAAGTTCAGAAAATTTGCAGCCTGACAATGTTTTCCAGGAGAAGAACACTAAGATTTTTGAAGACTTGAATGTTGAAAATAATCACCCAACCTCTACGAAGTAAAAATGACCTTATTATGAGTATTGTAGGAATAAAGGCAAATTCAGAAAGTAGTGGTGGGCCATCAGAAAGATTCACACTTCCCAGTATTATTGACTGTGATAGTGGTCTTTAAATAAAATTAGTCTTGCCTATTATTAAACCTCTTTACTCAGATTGCATCAGAAATCCACATATGAGTACAACCGAAATAAAATTGTGTGTATGGGTGTGTGTGTACGTGTGTGTGTATGCTATTACACATCACTCCAATAGGCATTCTTATCATTTCAAGCAGCAGAATCCTAACATCACCTATCTTTCTCAAATTTTGGTACATGCAACTCTTGAGGCTCTAAAAGTGTGGCAGAAGCTTAAAAAACCAACTACTGATGATAGTTTTTATCATAATGGATAACATAATCTCCATTTTTACATGTGAGAAAACCAAGGCAGAGAGGTGAAAGCAATTTGCCCCAAGTCACAGAGCTAGTACAGAATGGTGATGACATTTCAGCTCAGCAGTCTCATGGCAGAATCTGTAATCATAACCGCTCTACTATACTGAATCAAAACATTGTAAATATTCTTGGAGCATCAATTTTATCTGAGGATTTGAGAAAAACATATTACTTTTATATTAAAATAAGCAAAAATATATTATAGAGCAGAATGCAAGAAGTATGTGAATTTTTAATATGAAAAAAGCGACTTCATAGAGTGTTCTTATATCTGGTTTGCTTCAGGCAAAGGCACTTGATCTCGGTGGGGGGGTATGCGTTCATTGTCCTGTGCCAGTAGGAATATTTCAGTGAAAAACATAAAAATTTATTACATTACACAAAGTCTCTCCTTGCTGGGTGTTGAGCCTGTTTATTTATAACTTTCTTTTAGGTATGTGGTTAGACTAAACTCTTCATAACTTATAAAAAATTATATATATATATATGGAAGGAACACACAAATATATAAAGACAGTTGCATAAGAAGGTTTTCCATTATCCAAGTTCATAATTTTACTTTCTGTATCAGATTCTTAGTAACTTTGCAGGTTTCAGTGGACCTAAAATTTCACTACCCACCAGGAGGATGACAGGAATCCAGACTTGTCTATTGGTAATTCCTTCTGCTAAGCCATAGACTTATTTTAAACAACAAAGTTATCTTTTTAAATCCTAAATGTTTTTGATCATCTGCTTCTTGTACCACTAGGAAGCCAGGTTACTATAAGGAAAAGGAGATACCTGATTAGGAACAGCTAATTAGAATTCTTGGAGATATCTCCAAAATACCATTAACGAATTGTGATGGTGAATATTGAGTGTCAACTTCATTGGATTGAAGTATGCAAAGTACTTTTTCTGGGTGTGTTAGTGAGGGTGTTGCCAAAGGAGATTAACATTAGATTCAGTGGTCTAAGAAAGGCAGACCCACCCTCAACCTGAATGGGCACAATCTAATTGGCTGCCAGCACAGACAGAATAAACACAGGCAGAAGAAAGTGAAAAGAATAGACTGGCTTAGCCTCCCAGCCTACATCTTTCTCTCGTGCGGGATGCTTCCTGCCTTTGAACATCGGACTTTGAACAAGGTCTTCAGCTTTGGGGCTGGGATTGGCTTCCTTGCTCCTCAGCTTACAGATGGTCTGTTGTGGGACCTTACCTTGTGCTCATGTGAGTCAGTATTCCTTAATAAACTCCTCTCTATATAGGCATCTATCCTTTTAGATCTAGCCCTCTAAAAAACCAATACACCAATGATATATATTACATGTGTATATGTGTGTGTGTGTGTTCCCACATAGAGAATATTTGTATACTCAGAGGGGTCACTGGGAAGACATCTTAACCTTTGACTTTCAATTTTCTTATTTGAAAAATGGGCATATTACACAGATGTAAAATTTTAACTTAGAATTTATATAGTAAAACTTAAAAGGTAGTATTTGCTTGCTGTATAAATTCATTAGGTAAGTTTGATTTATTTGCACATTTATATGTAATTCAGCTTATAAAAATGAAATGTTCCACATGACTATTGAGAGATTTATAAAGGTTTGAATAATTATCATTAGGAAGTAGCTATGGCACTTAGTTCAACAGCACGTTGGTTACTATATGCCATAAACGCTGCCAAAACATTAGCATTTTATCTCTCACACATCCGAACCAGTCAGCCATGTCTGTATCATCTCACTTTTACAAATTATAATAATAAAATATAGGGAATTTGAAAATTACTGAAGGTCACAGAGATTGTAACTCTCAGAGGATGGCTTTAAACCTGTGATAGCCTGATTCCAAAATATTTGTTCCTTCTAATAAATCTTCAAAAACTTGAGACACAAGAAGTGTTTCCCTAGACTTCCTGAAAATCCACCATAAAGTTTTCTCATTGGCCCTTATATGGGTTAATACACCTATGACAATGCTATACATATCCTGGAAATGTACGTGTAGCTTCAGTGAATTCCATGTTACAGTATCATAGCTGATAAATATACCATTTCCATTTTCCAGATTTGTATGTTAGAGCAGTCAACCTAACATTTTCACAACTTGTTTTCTGAAGTGTGTGAGTAACATTAGGTCTGCTTCAGATAGAAAATAATGGGTCTGAAGGATGGCTTAAATATTCTAACTGACCTTTGGGGAAGTCATCTTAATAGTACTTTTAATATTGATGATAATAAGAATGAGCTCTGTAGAAAATCTTTATATTCTAGAAAATATGCTGAAAAAACTACTCATTTCCTCTTTGTAACACTCTCTGAGACAGGTGGGGAAAGTTTATCATTCTCATTTTAAAAATGAAGAAGCTGAGACTCATAATGATGAGGTAATGTGCTCATTAGCATAGGATCCTGGCGTGGAAAAGCCTATTTCAATCCATTCTTTCAGTTTCATCCATCACACTATAAAAAAGTAAATGTAAGGACTAACTTCAGCCATATAAGATTTATATTCTGGTTCAAACAATAAATATATATTAATGTAGCTTTTATATCACTGGACTATTATGTACATTTTAGGTCATTTTAACCATTTATTGCTTGTGTATTTGAGAGGAAAGAGACCCTAGGGATGTTTTAATGTACAGAGTGTCAATCTGAGTTGCTCAAGTTAAATCTGCATAGAAATATACAATGTGCTAAGTGACCTTTATATCAGACAATGTCATCTAAGTCCTACAACAGAAATAACTGATTATAAGAGAACATTCTTATGTATTATTATGAGTATTATTATTAGTTTTGAGATAAGTTCTCACTCTCTTGCCCAGGCTGGAGTGCAGTGGCATGCTCACAGCTCAATACAGCCTCTACCTCCCAAGCTCAAGCAATCCTCCCACCTCAGCCTCCCTAGTAGCTGGGACTACAAGAGCTCACCACCACATTCAGCTAATTTTTGTACTTTTCTAGAGATAGTGTTTAGCCATGTTGCCCAGGCTCATCTCGAACTCCTGGGTTCAAGACTGCCTCAGCTTCCCAAAGTGCTGGGATTAGAAGCGTGAGCCATCGTGCCAAGCCAGAGACCATTATTCTTTAAGCCACGGATTCCCAGCTCTGGCTTTTTAGCTCCTCAAGTTTCCTTCAGATGTTTCAAGGGTAAAGAAATGCTTCAAAGCAGATAATTATTCACATTTTAGATTTTTATGTTGTCATAATTGTCTTCGTGTGGGGTAAGAGAAGAAATGGAAAATCTTGCATTTAATGTTAGTGTGAACAGTTCTGCAAGTGGAGTTTTTCTGGCCTCATGGAGTTATAGCACGTATTAGCAAATCCTCCAAAATGCAAAATAAAGTTGGTAGTGGAAAATATTGCTACATGACGTTTCTAATCCAAAAGTCATTGTACAAAAGAGAAAATGTTTCTGCTGACTTCAACATTATGTCTCAGATGATCTCCTGCTTTATATATTCACAGCTACTGCCAAATTTAAGCTGTGTTTTGTTTTACTTTTAATCTCTTAATTGGCTACTTCAGCGTTCCCTGATTTTCCCTCCCTCCCTTCTTTCCTTCCTTCCTTCCTCCCTTCCTTCCTTCCTTCTTCCTTCCTTCTTTCCTTCCATTCCTCATCCTCTTCCTCATTCTCCTCCTCTCAACATCTTCTGTATGAGATGTAAAATTTCGTTTTTTTTAACAGCTTATTGAGGTAAATTAATGCACAAAGCATTGCAGTTATATATGTGTACGATTTGATGTCTGAACATATACAAATACCCATGAATCTATTGCCACAATCAGGTAATAGACATATTTGCCACTCTCAAAATTTCCTCAGGACTTTGTTTTTCTTTGTTTGTTTTGTGGTAAGAACACTTACATGAGATCTACTCTCAAAACTAATTTTGAATGTGTAATACCATATCGTTAAATACAGATGCAGTGTTTTCATGAATGTATTCATCTGGCATAACTGACACTTCGTACTTATTTTACAAATCTCCAATTATTCCACCTCCTACCTCTGTATCTGCTGACAGCAACTATTATATTTTCTGCTTCTATGAATTTGACTATCATAGCTACCTCATATAAATAAAACCGTGGAGTATTGGCCTATGACTGGACTTTTTTTTCACTTAGTATATTGTCCTCCAACTTCATCAATATTGTCTCAAATGCCAGGATTTCCTTCTTTTGTAAGCTGAATAATATACAAGTGCATGTGTGCCTGTGTGTGTGTGTGTTTGTGTGTGTGTAATATTTTCTTTATCCATTCATTCTTTGATGGACACTTAGGTTGATTTATATCTTGGCTATTGTGACTAATGATACAATAAACGTGGAGTGCCAATATCTTCAGGAGGGGATGATTTCAATTCTTTTAGGATATGTAATCAAAATGAAAATGCTGAATCATATGGTAGTTCTATTTTTAATTTTTAAGGATATTTCATAATGTTTTTCATAGATGCAATACCATTTTACATCCCACCAACAGGATACAAGAGTTCCAATTTCTCCACATTATGGCCAACACTGCTATTTTTCATTTTCATCCTAACTGGTGTAAAGTCATATCTCATCAGAGTTTTGATTTGCATTTCCTGATAATTAGAAATGTTGAGCATATTTTCAAATACCTAGTGCCCATTTGTATGTCTTTTTTGGAAAAATACCTGTCCAAGTCCTTTGTCCATTTTTAAATAGGGTTATTATAATTATTATTATTATCATTAATTTTGATACTGAGTTGTAGGAGTTTCCATACATTTTAGATAGAACTGCTTATCAGATATATGGTTTATAAATATTTTATCTGATTTCATAAGTTGCCTTTTAATTTTGTTGACTACTTTCTTTGTGGTACAAAAGCTTTTTAACTTGATATAGTACCACTTAGCGATTTTTGCTATTGAGGCCTGTGCCTTTGGCATCTTATTCAAGAAATCACTCCCATAATCTAATCAATGGCAGAAAGATTTCCCCTATCTTTGGTCTTGCTTTGTTTTCTTTAGAAGCTTTAGATTTTCAGGGCATATGTTTAAATTTCTAGTCCATTTTCAGTTAATTTTTGTGTTAGGTGTAAGGTAGGCATTCAATTTCTTTCTCTCTTTTTCTGCATGTCAATATCCAGTTTTCCCAACACCATTTGTTGAAGAAGCTATTCTTTTCTCATTGTGTATATCTGGCAACCTTGTCAAAGATCAGTTGACTGTATGTGTATGTGTTTATTGGCTATTTATTCTGTTCCATTGGTCTGTATATCTGTTTTTATGCTGGTATCATACTGTTTTTATTCCCATAGCTTTGTAATATATTTTAAAATGAGGAAGTGTGATGACTTTAGTTTTGTTCTTTGTGCTACTGATTGCATTAAGTATTAGGGTAATTTTAGTTTCATACAAATTTTTGGGTTTTTTTCTATTTATGTATAAAATGCAATTGGCATTTTGATGAGAATTGCATTGAATATATAGATCGCTTAGGGTAATATGGAAATTTTAATATATATTAAATCTCCAAATCCATGAACCCCAAGATGTTTTTCATTTTTTCTGTTTATTTAATTTCTTTCATTAATGTTTTATAATTTTCGATGTACAAGTTTTCCCTTTCTTTGTTTCCCTTTCTTTATTTTTATTTTTGATGAAATTATAAATTAAATTAAATAGCTGTTTGAAGGGTATATTATTAATGTATGGGAATGAAACTAATTTTTATATGTTGATTTTGTACTGTGCAACTTTACTGAATTTGTTTAATTAGTTTTAACGGTTTTTGTGAGGAGCCTTTAGGGTTTTTACATATGGAATAATGTGATCTATATGAGAGATAAGAGATAACTTTACTTCTCCCTTTAGAATTTGAATTCCTTTTATTTATTTTGCTTGCTTAGTTGCTCTGGCTAGAATTTTCAGTATGACGTGGAACAGAGGTGGTAACAATGGGCAGTGTCTTGTTACTGACCTGTGTTTATTATGTTTAGATGCATTCTTTTTAGACCTAGCTTGTCAAGTGGTTTTTAGTCATGAAAGGATTTGGATTCTGTCAAATGTTTATCTGTATCTACTGAGGTAATCTGAAATCACATCTTCAAGATATAATAGTGCCCCATTATCATAGATAAAGATGAAAAAAAGGTAGTGTGAAATTACAGCCTCTTGTAAATCAGGGTATTCCTCACAACACCTCTTTAGCTCCAGTGAGCTAGAGATTCATATTTATCTTGTTTTGATTTCCCTCAAAAGTGGATCTTGAAATAAAGAATCAAACATAATTAAATTATTTTGGTGTTCACGCAACACATGTTGTGTTCACTGTTTTTGCCTTGCCCTAAAGAAATACCTAAGACTGGGTAATATATAAAGAAAATATGTTTAGCCATCTCATGGTCTTGCAGGCTATACAGGAAGTGTGGTACTGGCATCTGCTTCTAGTGAGGGACTCAGGAAGCTTACAGTCATGGAAGAAGGTGAAGGAGAAACTGGTGTGTCACACGGAGAGAGCAGGAGCAAGAGAGAAGGAGGAAATCCCACAATCTTTTATACAATTAAACCTCAAGTGAACTAAGAACTCACTCATCACCAAGGGGTGATGTTACACCATTCATGAAGGGTACAACACCAGGATCCAATCACCTCCTACCAGGCTCCACCTCCAACACTGGGAATCACAATTCAACATGAGATTTGGAGGGGATGCGTATCCAAACCATATTACATATATAGAAGAATGAGGTAGTAACACATTAAAGAAAAGGAAGCTAGTAAATTTTGAACTTTCAAAATGGTTATCACTGTGGGTAGCTGAAATTCAGAACCTTTGGAGATCTCTCTCTAAAACCATTGGAGAAAACATACAATTTTTATCGAAGTTATCTCATCTATGGTTGAGGAAGCTAGGGTTCTCACTACATCATTAGCTGATGATTGCTTCCAGCATTAAATCTCCAGTAGTTCCATTACTCTAGTGTCACAGTAAATATCCTTCACTATGTAGAAGTGCATGAAGGGATATGTCTGGGCTTTTGCAGTACTTGCTATAGCATTTTACAGACTATTACCATTCTCTGATTCTGTGTTTTCAATCCTTGCAGCCTTCATTAGTGTTTAGAATGCCTTTCCATACAGGACAATTTTAGAAAAATCTACCCACATCAAAGAATTGGTTCTTTTCAGAGTTTGCTCTTCCTACTCATGCTTACAAGGCTGTAGAAACCTACAACCTGGAGCAAGCAACAAACATGCACACACACACACAAATAGCTTCAGGAAAATCCTAATCCCTCTAGCGAAAAGATCAGGAAAAAACAACCTAAAACATAAAAACAACAAAATGTCTTTGGCACTATATTTTCTACTCCAACCAAACCCCAAATAAACAGCTATATTTACTCACACAATTTTATTAGGCCATAAGAGAAGTAGATCTTTACCAAATCCTCTCCCTCTTTCCATCTTGTGGACACAGGCATTGTGCTCCAATTCTCTTGCCAGGTAATATCAACAAGCTAAGTGAGGATCTTACCTTCTATCATCTCCTGCCTGGTATATTCAGATGGCAGTCTGATTTCCTTCCAGGATAGTGCATGTTTCATGGTTCGTGGGACTACAGAGCAGGAAGTGAAGTTAACTTTCCATTCCCTACCTGATGGAAGCCGGAGTGCTTTGATTCTCTGACCAAGGTAGTATCAGCTGTGTGCCATTGTGAGCTATGCCTCCACCTGACCCATGCAGCGGCAACGAGATTGAAGAAGGCATAGCAACCTGGGTCTAGTAAGCACTCTTATTTTCCCCACTCCTGGTTTCAGCAAGACCAAGGGGACAGCTGAGGCTCCACAGATTTAAAAACCTATGTGAACTACAAAGAGAGTAAGTCCCAAAAAATCCATTCCAAATAATCTTATAAACTTTTAAAAACCAAAGACAAACAAAAAGTCTAGAAAGCAGCCAAAGAAAAGTAATATTTATCTATAGAAACATACAATTAAAATGACAGTAAATTCCTCATGTGAAACCATGGAGTCAAGAAGAAAGTGGCAAAATATTATTCAAGAGCTGAAAGAAAAATACTGTCAACTGCATATTCTATATCTGGCAAAAATATCCATCAGAAATCCAAGGGGAAATCAAGACATTCTTATATAAAAGAAAACTAAGAGAATTTTTTTACTAGCAACCTGAAAGAATGGCTAAAGGAAGTTTTTCTAAGAAGTACATCCACCTTCCTGTTCAATTTGGATAATTTCATGTATCACTAATATATTCTGTGCAGTGTCATATTTCATTTTCATTATCCTGTCTCACCTAACAGTACTTAGCATCTGAAGCATAAAAACTCTGTTTAAACTATAGCCACAAAATGCTAAGCACTGCCTTTCTGTGGTAGTTACTAGAGTTATTTGCCAAAGCTCTCTTGCTCTTCATCCTCTGGGCACAATGTATTATTCATATACTGGCTCATTTCTAGGTGAGTTTAACCATGTATCATTTTGTTATTGCTATGAAACCAACTGTCTCCAAATTAATGGCTTAATACAATTTGTTTATTTCATGATTATATAAATTAACATTTTATGCTGGACTCAGATGGTTGGTCCTTTTTGTCTCTGATTTATATCTCGGTGCTCAGCCTCATGTTGGCTTTGCTGTTATTTGCTTGGTTCCATCACATGTCTCGTATTTTGCCTGGGAAAATTGGACTGAATTACCTTTGTTCTATATAGATTCTTATCATCTGTCAGATTACCCTGAGCTCATTCATGTAATTTTTCTCATGACACAATGTTTAATTACCAATGGAAGTTCCTCTTGTTCTCTCTTTTGCCTTACCAGGATGAATTACAATGTTTGAGATGATGGATATTCCAATAGCCTGACTTCAGAGGAAGAGCACTGTAAAGATATCTTCCAGCATAATTGAGAAATGTACTTTTGTCATTTAAGCTGCTATTTTGTATTATTTTGTTATAATATTCTAGCCTACTCTGACTCATCTTTCCTTATAATAGATTCTAGATAAATGTTTATTGAATGAATGAATATTTATTTTTCTTATTAATTTTCTGAAGCGGGTTCTTAGAAACCCAACTCATTGACAATATGTAGATGCTTAATAGAAAACCCTATGAACCAAAGATGTGAGCAACCATGGATACTACTAAATTTATACCATCAGAAAAAAAATCAAGGATGGACAATCAGGAGTTTGATGGCATTTACCTCAAGAAAGAAAAAAAGAAATATTACTATACCCAATTTTTTGAAGGGAGACAGGTTTTAGACCTGGAAATTCATAAAAGAATAATAGGTGGGTCCACTGAAGGCCAGATGATATAATATCTCAGTGAGTATATAAAACTATCATCTATACATTTCTACACTGGACAGACATATTGCCATTTACTCAGGTAACTGAGCACTGATAAAAATAAATATTTTAAGGACTATCAAACTCAGAGACCAAGTTGATATTGACATAAAAACCAGCATTAATTGTAGCACCAAGATTATTCTGAAATTTCTGAACTGACTCCTGACTAGCGTCCCACTATTGTTCTTATCCCCATGTAGTCCATCCTTCTGACATAAGATATTTTTTAAAACATTAATCCTACTGTGTCATTCTGCTTAAAACCCTTCAATGCCCTTACCTTTCCTCACAGCCATTTCCCAATGCTCTTAATTCTTTCCTAAAGATCTGATTTCCAACTGGTATAATTTTTCTTCAAGCTGAATACATTTGCTTTAGCATTTCATTTAGTGCAGAATTGCTGTGACAAATTCTCTCAGCTTTGTTTTATCTAAAATAATATACTTATTTCACATTTATTCTTAAAGGATGTTTTGACAAATATAAAATTTTGTGTTGATTATTTTTTTTTCTTATTTATTTATTTATTTTTTTTTTGAGACAGAGTCTTGCTTTGCTGCCCAGACTGCAGTGCAGTGGCATGATCTCGCCTCACTGCAACCTCTGCCTCCCGGGTTCACGCCATTCTCCTGCCTCAGCATCCTGAGTAGCTGGGACTACAGGCGCCCGCCACCACGCCTGGCTAATTTTTTTTTTTTTGCATTTTTTTTGTGCAGACCAGGTTTCAGCGTGTTAGCCAGGATGGTCTCCATCTCCTGATCTCGTGATCCGCCCGCCTTGGCCTCCCAAAGTGCTGGGATTACAGGCGTGAGCCACTGCACCCGGCCTTTTTTTTTTTCTTTTTTTCTTTTTTTTTTTTTGAGACAGAGTTTTGCTCTTGTTGCCAAGGCTGGAATGCGATGGTGTGATCTCGGCTCAACACAGCCTCCGCCTCCCAAGTTCAAGCGATTCTCCTGTCTCAGCCTCCTGAATAGCTGGGATTACAGGCGTGTGCCACCAGGCCTGGCTAGTTTTGTATTTTCAGTAGAGACAGGGTTTCTCCATGTTGGTCAGGCTGGTCTCGAGCTCCCGACCTCAGATGATCCACCCGCCTCAGCCTCCTAAAGTGCTGGGATTACAGGCGTGAGCCACCATGCCCGGCTGTTGATTATTTTTTCTTTCAATATTTTAAAGATACTGGTCTGTTATCTTCTGGACCCCATAGTTTCTACTGAAAAGTTAGCAATCATTTGAATTAGTGCAGTACACTTCCATTATGTGATTTCTCATTTCATCCTCACAGCTTTCAGAATTTTCCATTTGTCTTGACTTTTCAGCTGTTTCAACATGATGTTTCCACATGTGTTTTTCTTATTTATTCTGCATGAAGTTAACTAATGATTTTGAGTGTGAAAATGTACATCGTTTTTAAAAAAAATTGGATAAGTTTTTGATTATTTTCTTATTTATATATTTTGTCAGCTCAATATCTTTCTCCTTTCCATATAGAAGATATTGGACCTCTTGATATTGTCCCAAATTTCTCTAATATTCTGTTGATTTTCTTCCTTCCCTCTCCTTTTCAGAACAGATAATTTCTTTTTATTTTCAAATTTACTGAAACTTCCTTGCTATCTCCATTTGGTAGTTAAGTTTAGCAAATTTTAAATATCAAATATTGAAGTTGACAGTTCTAAATTTTTGCTTGCTGTCTCAATAGATCTTATTTCTCTGCTGAGATTATATACATATCTATATACATCTACATATAATATGTATTCTATACATATCTATATACATCTACATATAATATGTATTATATACATATCTATATATATGCATATATACATATATAAATTTATTATTAGCATATTTTTATGAGTATATTATAATAGATGTTTAATGCTCTTTTCTGCTTAATTGAACATTTCGGTCGAATTATAGTTACTCTATATTTAGTTCCTTTTTTCTTGAAAATAGATCATATTTCCTAGTTCTTCACTTGTCAAGTAATTTTTAATTGTATCCCAGGTATTTTATATATTTTATTCCAAGTCTCTGGATTCTTTTTTATTCCTTTAGAGAACATTGTTTTTTGTTTCTGTATTTTCAAGCTTTATTGGACTTAAATTGTTGTCTGTCTCTTGGATAAAAACTGAAATTTCAGCTCAGTTATTTTATACTTCATTGGGATGCTTGGCCTCTGAGTCGTGCACGTGCAGTTTAGGGGTCAGTCTGATATTTAGGCTTAGTTTATTCACAACATTTGTGATTAAATTCTTTCCATTCTTCTTGACTCTCTACTTTCTGAATGAAGTGCCTGCTTAGATTTCAATTACTATGGTTGCTTCAAACTCTATCTTCTGATTTTCTAAGGCCAGGGAGATGGTGAGGTTTCAGCTGAAGTTTTAGTTGCTTTATATGTGCTGAATGTGTCTTGCCCTCAGGTCAGAAGCTGTAAAAAGGAAAACCCACCCTGTAACCATAAAGTATTCTAAGTCTTAACATCCCTCTAGAATCTTCTTGCATTTGTTCACAATACAATAGTCAGGTAGTTACCCCTTTCCCCCACAGCCTATCTTCAAGAGCATCAATTCAATTTGACCTTATTTCACCATAGAAGTTGAAGTCTCAGCTACTGAAACTCAATTAAAATTCAAATTCTGTATATTGACTTATAAGAATTAACATAATTTGGGCCCCTACGTACTTCCCTTGTCAAACCTTGTTTCACCCTACCATTTGCTTATTACTTACCAATTCTAGTGGTCTTCTTTACATATTCCAAGCCAGTTCCATTTTGGAGATGTTTTACTTGCTTTTTTCTTCCTGGGATCTCTGATACTAACTTTTTGTTAGTCTAGGCAGATAGTTAGACATGAGCAGTAAAGGGAGCCCCTGGAGGAGGAATCTCTGGAAAATCTCACACCTCAGAGACCACCTGAAGCATGCATGCTAAATATGAGCAGAGGAGAGGGAAAATACCCATGCAGGAAGAAACACCTCAAAATGCCTATTAAGAGGCCCAGTAATCACTATCTCTGTAGTAAACTGTGAAAATGCAGCGAGCTGATAAGAAGGGAAGAAGGCCAAAGGGGAAATTCCTAAGAGATATGTAGGCACAGTAAGTATAGATTTGACCACTATATGCTGGAGTGGCAGTAATGAGCAATGCTGCCATTAGGTAGAATTTGTATTGATCACTGGGCCCCACGGGTGCAGATTAACTCACAGTAAGGGAGAATCCTACAAACCTGAGTGGGAAACAGGTGGAAACAAATGTGGATTCCTAAGACAGAAGCAGAAAACTAGACAAAGATAGAGGCAGAGACTTGAGACAGTGGCAGGAAATGTCTGACATAATAAAAACTGCAATACAGAATATTCAGGGCTGTTTCCATCTGGGTCAACCCACTCTTCTCTTGGAGTGTACTCTTATGTCCTTAATAAACCTTTTTTCTTGCGTTATTAATTGGTCTCTTGGCTGAAACTTTCCTCTGAAAAGACAAGAACGGAAGACTCCTGTGCGTTCCAGTAACATGTTGTGGAGCCGTGACTCAGATAGCCTCATCCATGAACTTTTGTTTGTGGTAAATGCCACAGTGGTCCCAGACTACCTGGTCGACTACCTCTGCTTCTTTCTGTGCTGCTGTACTACAGTTTAGAGGAAAATCTCCTACTCCCAATGCTGTTCTTGCTACTTTAAGGTGAGTGTTTTCACTTGCTCTCTCATTCGCCTACAAATCTCCAGAACAATTCCCTTCAGTGACTGACTCTACTCCCTCCAGATGATTTCTCACTTCCTGCTGATGGGTGACAAACGGAGATGGGAAGACTTCAAAGTCCACACTGGGTAGATCTAAGTCGCTGTCGCCCTCCCTGACAGGAGGTTTATGAAGGTGGCCGGACTTAAGCTCAGACTGCACAATGACTAGGGATCTTTTTATTTCTGAACCCAAAATGATTATCTTCCAATAAGTCTGCTGTTATACTTGCCTTTCATTGAATTTCTCCCCTCTTCTCCTCCTCTGGACACAAACAATGCCAAGATGGAAGCACGTTCCCATGAACTATTAATCTGGCAGATCAGTTCACTTAGCCAGGGCTCTAGAGAATTACCATGGCTTTTCAAGCATCTTTTCTGCAGAATCCCTAAGGAATCTCTTCAAAACAGGGGAAGGTTTCAAACCTTTGCCCACACCTCTAACCATCTACATCTTTTATCTAAATGCCATTATGCACTCAAAGAACCCTTTGTGGAAGTCCCTTATCTGCAAGCTTTGGTGGGGGTACAACTATTGGGCTTCTTAAAGGGCCAGAGTCATTGAGAATATAAAAGGCAGCAAAATTACCCCTGTGCCAAATACTCTTCCAGCCGCTAACCAAAGGGTGACTGGGGAGATATTTCTGAGGCAAAGAGAGAAAGAAGAGACCAAAAGAATCAAGCCCATGAAAAGGATCAACTAAATCTGGAGCTCCCTATGGGCAAGGCAAGTGCTGTCTTGCCTTCCCAAGTCGGGTGAGGGATGCCTCACCTTCATACATCATTGTAGAAATGGACAGTGGACACCTCCTTCATCTTACAATTCTCCTGTCTTTTCTTTTAGCTGGGTAACCAGATGTCCATACCCCAAGATTCCCCCAGTCTCAGAGGCATCCTTTAAAAAAACTGGGATAAATTTGACCCTCAAACTTTAAAGCAAAAAACTAATTTTCCTTTACAAAACCAGAGGAAATCTGGCCAGAGAACAGAAGTACAAATTTTAGTATGATCCTTCAGCTGGAACTTTTCTGCTGCCATCAGGGCATATAGTCAGAGGTCCCCTATTTACAAACCTTCATGGCCTTGAGGGAAGACCTTAAACTTGGTAAAGCTTAGAAGGCAGACCCTGCCATCTGAGCTATAGTTAGCCACCATAAACTAGGGTCCAAATTAAAATTCTGTAGCCTTTCTCAAAAGAATACAGGAAACCCTTATTAAGCATATCAACTTAAACTTGGAATCCCCAGAGGGACAACTAGTCCTAAAGATCATCTCTTTACCCAAACCACCCCAGGCATTGGGAGAAAATTATAAAAGTCAGCCTAAGGACCCAGTGATCCTATGCCAGAAATCCTCAAATTAGACTTCTTAGTCTTTTGTCACCAAGATCAGGATGAGGAAGACAGGGCTAAGGAAAAGGAGAAATGCAGGGACAAGAGGTAGGCCCAGCTATTGGTTGTTTTATAAGTCCTCCAGCCACCTCCAGGTTGCCCTAAGGATATTCATTCAAGTAACTGCAATTGGTGGCGAAGACTAGACCACTGCCCAAATGAGCCAAATGGGAAAGCCCCATGTGGCCTGCCTCTCCCTCTGCCAGAAGCTCAGTCACTGGAAGAGGGACTGCCCTATGAGCCAAAAGGTGACCAGTTGGGCCCCCATCCAATGATGGCCTTGAGCTGAAGGGGCCCCATGCTCCAGCTAGCTGCCAGATCAGACATTGTCAATAAAAGAGGGCAACTTTGGAAGTGGAAAGTAGGACTATACATTTTCTTTTGCATTCAAAAGCTAACTATTTTGTGCTAACCTCCTTCTCCAGACAACTTTTCTCCAAATCTTGTTGAATGATGGGGGAGAAAAGCACCCCTGCTCCCTCAAAAGATTCCTTTATATTACATATGGGACCAATTACAACTCTCCCACCAGTCCCTGGCAATGTCTAAATGCCCCACACCCCTTTTGAGTAAGAATGTACTTTTCAAGATGTTTGGCTATTTAATATTTACCCAATCTCCAAATTTATCTTTTCCTCTAATGGCCTTATTTCTCCTAGAAAAGCCTACTAAACCTTTAACCAATTATGTCAACCTGGACAGTCTTACCTCAGGGTTTTAAAGACAGCTCACACTTATTTAGATAAACCCTAGCAAGAAATCTAACCAAGCCATATCTTGAGGGGGGATAATTACCACAATATATAGATAATCCACTCCTCTGCTCCCTCTCCACAAAGCTTGCAAAACATGCAATACAAACCTTAAACTTCCTATCAAAAGGGGGTTCTAAGTATCCAAAGCCAAGATAGAGAATTTGATACCTAGAACTAATCAAATATATACACAGGGAGTATTGATGGCTGGAGACCCTTCTAACAACCAACGCTTGTACCTACCAAAAACTCAGGTCCTTATTAAAACCTGAACACATTTATCTGCTAGATATCTACTAATTCATCTTATGGAAAGGCCCTTTTACTGCTTTGCCTTCTACCTCAACAGCCATTAAAGTTTCTGGAATTTCTAGTTGGATCCATCATTTCCAAATAGAATCCTGGGAAGATTCTGAGGAAACAAGAATGAAACCAACACCCAACTATGCTTGTGAGCCACAGGAGGACTAAAAGTTCCTATTCAAATGAAAAGATAAGTAATGTTCCCCCTCCTTTTACCTCAAAGTAGGGTAGTCCCAATATTGGGAATCTTATTTGTGGGAGCACTGATTATTCCTCTTATTTTAACCCTATCTTATACACCACCAGGAATTCCAATAACAGCTTGCTTTGTCACTAACTATTCACCATAAACTAATAGAGTCTTTCCTAATTTTATAATAATTCTTATTTCAATAAAGCCTAAAGGGATTAGGCTATAACAAAAAAATACATCTTTCCACTCTTCTCTCTCACTTATCCCTTTGCCATATGGGCTCAATGAGGCAATGATTTCCTTGTCAATTTCTCCAAAATAATTGCCTCAAGAAATAACCTTTCCAACCATTGGATTTGACATAACCACACTACCAAATCTTTGTCTTTGCAATGCATCCCAGTTGACAGTTTTACTTTAAATCTAACACTAGCTTCAGGGAGCCCTATGGACCATCTTATGTCTAACCGATTCCAGATCTCACTTACTTCTTACTGTCCTCAAACAACCAGTGACACAATCTCTAATTTCAACACCTCGCTAACTTCTCTTGCTAATGAAATCATAGACAACAGACTAGCTTTAGATCACCTCCTTACAAAACAAGGCAGAATCTACCCTGTAATTAATAAATTCTAGTATACTTATGTCAACAATAGTAGGCAAATAAAGGAAACTATAACGAAAATCTACAACCATGCTAAGTAGCTTCATAAACTTTGAAAAGAAAGTCTCTCAGCAAATTCCATCTGGAACTCTGTAAAATCTGTTTTCCCAACTCACATGGTTTCTCCTCTTACTGGGACCAGCCACCTCCATACTTCTACCCCTCTTTTTTCAACACCAGCTTTTTAAACTTACTTGTTAAATTTGTCTCCTCAGGCATACAACAATTTCAGACCAAGCTTCTATAATATACAGCTATGAACCAATCACCCCTGGAGACCCCATCATCTATACACACACACCTTGCCTCTAAATGCCAGGAGGCAAAGGTTCCAGAAAGTAGTGAAGGGGTTGCATCCCTAACAGAGAGCAAGAGAATGAGACCCTGAATTATTCATCCCATAACAGCAGGAAGCAGTTACAGAAGCCCAAGGATCCCCTAAACCTGATGATTTTAAGAGTCTCAATCTCTTGAGGGGGGAATGTTAGAGTAGGCAGATAGTTAGACATTAGCAGGAGGGGAGACTCCTGGGGGAAGAAGCTCTTGAATATCTCTTGCCTCAGAGAACATCCAACACATGCATGTTAAATATGAGTGGAGGAGGGGGCAAATACCTACACAGGAAATAACACCATGAAATGCCTCTTAAGATGCCCGTCAATCACTCATTCTACGGTTAAGCTGTCAGAACATAGCTAGCTACATGCTGGTAAGAGGAGAAAAGGGCAAATGATAAATTTCTAAGAGATATACAGGTGCAATAAGTACAGATTTGACCACTATACTATCTTTCTGGAGTGGCAGTAATAAACAATGCTGCCAAGAGGTAGGATTTGTATTGATCACCAGACCCAGGCATGCGCATCAACAGACAGTAGGGAGAATCCCACAAACCTGGATGGGAAGTACGTGGGAACGAATGCAGAGACTTAAGACAGAAGCAGGAAACTAGACAAAAACAAAGGCAGAAACTTGAGACAGAAGTGGGAACTTAAAAAAAAAATATCCAGTGTAATACAAACTGCAACAGAGAGCACTTGGAGCTGTTCCCAGCTGTGTCAGCCTACTCTTCTCTGGGAAACTCTTATGTCCTTAATAAACCTTGTATTATTTTCTTTTTTTTTTTTTTTTGCTTTACTGATTGGTCTATTAACAGAATTATTTCCTTCAAGAAGACAAAAAACAAGGAACGCCCACACTTCCCAGTAACATTTTCACCTAAATGACTGTTCTTTTTCATCAAATTATCATCATCTTACATAGCACTTCTCTAAGAAGACTTACATGATTATCCAATCTCAAAATGTGCTTTTTTTAGTTTTTTTTGTTTGTTTGTTTGTTTTTTTTGAGACGGAGTCTCATTCTGTCACCCAGGCTGGAGTGCAGTGCGCGATCTGGGCTCACTGCAAGCTCCGACTCCTGGGTTCACGCCATTCTCCTGCTTCAACCTCCCGAGTAGCTGGGACTACAGGCTCCCGCCACCACGCCCGGCTGATTTTTTTTTTTTTTTTTTTTTTAGTAAAGATGGGGTTTCACCATGTTAGCCAGGCTGGTCTCGATCTCTGACCTCGTGATCCACCCTCCCCTGCCTCCCAAAGTGCTGGGATTACAGGTGTGAGCCACCGCGCCCAGCAAAAAAGTGCTTTTTTGCAGTCACTTTGTTTCTTATCACAGTTTAATTTCTCTCATATCATATATCACTTTCTGAAATCATTTAATAAGTTCATTAAATTTAGACATTTTCACGTTACTTTTTTTTATTATAATTTAAGTTCTGCGATACATATGCAGAACTTGCAGGTTTGTTGCATAGGTATACATGTGCCATGGTGGTTTGCTGCACCCATCAGCCCATCATCTACATTAGGTATTTCTCCTAATGCTATCCCTCCCCCTACTCCTAACCGCCCAACAGGCCCCAGTGTGTAATGCTCCCCTCCCTGTGCCCATATGTTCTCATTGCTCAACTCCTACTTATGAGTGAGAACATGCAGTGTTTGGTTTTCTGTTCCTGTGTTAGTTTGCTGAGAATTACGGTTTCCAGTTTCATCCATGTCCCTGCAAAGGATATGAACTCATTCTTTTTTTATGGCTGCATAGTATTCCATGGTGTGTATGTGCCACATTTTCTTTATCCAGTCTATCATTGATGGACCTTTGGGTTGGTTCCAAGTCTTTGCTATTGTGAGTAGTGCTGCAGTAAATATACATGTCCATGGGTCTTTATAACAGAATGATTTATAATCCTTTGGGTAATGAATATGAAATGAAATAAATCCCAGTAATGGAATTGCTGGGTCAAATGGTATTTCTGGTTCTAGATCCTTGAGAAATCACCACATTGTCTTCCACAATGGTTCAACTAATTTACATTCCTACCAACAATGTAAAAGCATTCCTATTTCTCTGCATCCTCTCCAGCATCTGTGTTTCCTGACTTTTTAATGATCACCATTCTAACCGGCATGAGATGGTATCTCATTGTGGTTTTGATTTGCATTTCTCTAATGACCAGTGATGATGAGCTTTTTTTCATATGTTTGTTGACCATATAAATGTTGTCTTTTGAGAATTGGCTGTTCATATCCTTCATCCACTTTTTGATGGGGTTGTGTTTTTTTGTAAATTGGTTTAAGTTTCTTGTAGAGTCTGGATATGAGCCTTTCGTCAGATGGATAGATTGCAAAAATTTTCTCCCATCCTGTAGGTTGCCTGTTCACTCTGAGGATAGTTGCTTTTGCTGTGTAGAAGCTCTATAGTTTAATTAGATCCCATTTGTCAATTTTGGCTTTTGTTGCAATTGCTTTTGGTGTTTTAGTCATGAAGTCTTTGCCCATGCCGATATCCTGGTATTGCCCAGGATTCCTTCTAGGGTTTTTATGGTTTTAGGTCTTACATTTAAGTTTTTAATCCATCTTGAGTTACTTTTTGTATAAGGTGTAAGGAAAGGGTCCAGTTTCAATTTTCTGCATATGGCTATTCAGTTTTCCCAACATCTTTTATTAAATAGGGAATCCTTTCCCCATTGTTTGTTTTTGCCAGGTTTGTCAAAGAGCACATGGTTGTAGATGTATAGTGTTATTTCTGAGGCTTCTGTTCTGTTCCATTGGTCTATATATCTGTTGTGGTACCAGTACCATGCTGTTTTGGTTACTGTAGTATAGTTTGAAGTCAGGTAGCGTGATGTCTCTAGCTTTGCTATTTTTACTTAGGATTGTCTTGACTATATGGGTTCTTTCTTGGTTCCACATGAAATTTAAAGTATGGTTTTCTAATTCTGTGAAGAAAGTCAATGGTAGCTTGATGGGAATAGCAGTGATTCTATAAACTACTTTGTGCGGTATGGCCATTTTCATGATATTGATTCTTCCTTTCTTTCTCCCGTGTAGCTTAAGATCGTAGATCAGCATTCCAACTATGTTGTTTACTATATTCCCAAAACAGATAACAAAGCTTTGACACATAGAATATATTTAATAAATAATTTATAAATTAATTTTGGGCAACATCTAATAAATAAAAGCATTTGTTGAAAGATAATATAAAGGTATTATGTCTACTAAAAGATTTATTATGTATAAATGTGTACAAATTACTTATTTAAATTTTATTTATATATGTTCAAGTGGAACTATTCAATGTCTTTCATTAAAGAAAAATGTAGACATTCTTTTTCTTTCCTCAAGATATCTATTGTTAAATGTCAAGTGTCATTCCTATTAATTAAATGAAGAAACAAAGAAGAAAAGCCAAAGGATTTCTTTTAGTGTCAAAGACTGGTTGGAGTGAATTTAATCAAATTGGAGTAAATGATACTCCTATACCCCAAATGAGCACTGGGATCACACATAATGAAATCACTAGTATGGACCTCATTAGAAAGAACATTCTGGATAATATAGTCTAAAGGATGATTTATAAATGTTTAATTGCATGACAGTTTTGCCTCTTTGGGCCTGGACAGATAGCTAAAATATTTTGTATTTGTTTCTTATATGACACGTGATTATTTTGAACAGGACATTTACTGATTTAGCACTTTGAAATCTAGCAGTGGGTGACAAAGCTCATTTCATTTCTTTCCTTTCCTTCCATCCTATTTACTAGTTTACATATAAATAGTCTTGTGTCTGACAAGTTCTTATTTGAATCTGAATTGTGCTGATACCAGAAATATTTGCAAATATTTCTTGACATGTCATCAAGAATCTTGTCAATTTGTACCTTTCAAATTTATATACATACAGACATTACAAATGCTGTCCTCGGCTCAAGCAAAACAGCAAATTTACTCTATAAAAGGGGCTTGTCAACAATATCTACATGAAGACCTAGTACTGTGTAAAACCCAGCAAGGATTTTCTCTATTTTAACATTTTCATTGCATTATACAGTAATTTTATATAAACATTACTTTTAAAGAAATTATAATTACATCAAAAATAAATTGTTATGTCTCTATTTCCTTCAGTTCTGCTCTGATTTTAGTTATTTCTTGCCTTCTGCTAGCTTTTGAATGTGTTTGCTCTTGCTTTTCTAGTTCTTTTAATTGTGATGTTAGGGTGTCAATTTTGGATCTTTCCTGCTTTCTCTTGTGGGCATTTAGTGCTATAAATTTCCCTCTACACACTGCTTTGAATGCGTCCCAGAGATTCTGGTATGTTGTGTCTTTGTTCTCGTTGGTTTCAAAGAACATCTTTATTTCTGCCTTCATTTCGTTATGTACCCAGTAGTCATTCAGGAGCAGGTTGTTCAGTTTCCATGTAGTTGAGCGGCTTTGAGTGAGATTCTTAATCCTGAGTTCTAGTTTGATTGCACTGTGGTCTGAGAGATAGTTTGTTATAATTTCTGTTCTTTTACAAATGTCCAACAATGATAGACTGGATTAAGAAAATGTGGCACATATACACTATGGAATACTATGCAGCCATAAAAAAGGATGAGTTCATGTCCTTTGTAGTGACATGGATGAAATTGGAAATCATCATTCTCAGTAAACTATCGCAAGAACAAAAAACCAAACACCGCATATTCTCACTCATAGGTGGGAATTGAACAATGAGATCACATGGACACAGGAAGGGGAACATCACACTCTGGGGACTGTTGTGGGGTGGGGGGAGGGGGGGAGGGATAGCTTTGGGAGATATACCCAATGCTAGATGACGAGTTAGTGGGTGCAGCGCAGCAGCATGGCACATGTATACATATGTAACTAACCTGCACAATGTGCACATGTACCCTAAAACTTAAAGTATAATAATAAAAAAAAATTGTTGATCTTTCATTAAGATATGAGGAAATCTTCCTTATTTAGAGGTGATATTTTCCTTGACACTTTACATAGATCAACAAACTACTGAAAACGCAGGTAAATAATTTCTTACCTTTTTTTAAAAAAACTAGAATTGCACATTATTAAAGTCATCGCATAGTTCGGTATACTATGTAAAAAACTTTCTATCTATCTTTCAAAGAGATTCTATTTGAATGTCTAATTGCTAATTTCTGCCTTTGCCTGCTAAATGATATAGCTGTAGTTACATATAAAAATCATGATTTCATTGTTGCAGAAAATAACGAAATACACTTTTCAAAATTGGTTATTAGCAGTGTTACTTCCTTAAGCAATCAAATAAGATTTCAGTTTTACAAAAGATATATGTTGAGGAACAGAGAGAGAGAACTTTTCTTTCTTTCTTTCTTTCTTTCTTTCTTTCTTTCTTTCTTTCTTTCTTTCTTTCTCTCTCTCTCTGTTTCATTCTCTTTCTCATTTTTCCTCCCTCCCTCCCTCTCTCTTTCTTTCTTTCTTTCCTTTTCTTTTCTTTTTCTTTCTTTTCTCTCTGGACTCTGAGTTGCCTCACAAAAGAAACAGGCAACACAATGGGAGTGAACTGCTCACCATGATGCTTCCCTAGAATGTGGTAGGCTACAAGGTACCTGGAGCTCCTTAGTGTCTTAGGTTGATTCCACTTGTGGTAGCTGGGGTGAAGAGTTGGAAAGCTTACAGATGGATATAAAATCAACTTAAGCCTATGAAATTCTTTTCCCGCCTTCAGGAAAATTGTCTTAACAAGCTCCAGTCTGGCTAGCCCCAGGGACGAGAGGGGCCCTAGAAAAATACCAGTAAAGTATCCTGAAGTGTTAGTTGTCCCATGGTGTGGGGCTTGGATCAGGAACCCCAGTTGCCCAGTTATAAGGGCAATATTGCAATCATGTCCAACAATGCTCTTCAATTTAAACATGGTTACACAAACATCTATGTGTACTAACTTCAGGTGTTTAAATGACAATAATTTTTAAAAATAGTGTTGTTAAAGAAGCCTGTTGAACTCTTACAGTGTTGGATAAATGTCACAGATGCCACCTATGGCCTGGAAATCTTGAGACTACGTGGAAGGAAGCAAGCATGTGAAATCCTGTAAAGAACATGTATAATAAGAGCATAGATTTTCATAGGGAAAAACTGGGTTAACTGTGGCCTACAAAGAACTTGACAAAATCAGAGAACAATTACCAAGGTAACTTATTTTATAAATGGTAATTATAAAAGTGGACAAAGTTATTTCTTAGGGACCAGAATAGGTTACAGGAAGGGATTTTGTTTTTAAGCAAAGCCTTAGAACTGGTCTCTATAAAGCAGGAGGGAGAGATATATTTAGGTATGGATCCCAGATAAGGTGCTGGAAAAGGAGAGAATATCAGAATAAAGCCTGAGGTACTATTGTCTCTCTATTCTAACACAAAGGCTTCTCTTATTTTTCCTTTTGTGGAGAGTTCCTTAGAAACTCTCATAGGAGCTCTCCCGACTTACTCAAAGTAATAACTAGTATTCCCACTAAGGGTCACGTTTGTTTGAGAAGTAGCCTCACGTAATTGCAAGAGAAAGCTGTGCCAGCTCCTCATACTGACAATCAAGTTCATGTGTTATAAATAGGAACACCTAATGAAAGCTCATCTTAAATTTGAAGAAAAAATAACTTGAACAAAATGAATTAATATAGAATGAAAAACAAAATATAAAAAATAAGCAGGTAAAATAATGACAATGATGAACAAAGAGATAATTTAAAAAAACAAAGATATGCTTTAATAAAATTCTAGCCTCGACTTGGTGGCTTATGCCTGTAATCTTGGCACTTTGGGAGGCTGAGGTGGGCACATCACTTGAGCTCAGGAATTTGAGACCAGCCTGGGCAACATGGCAAAACCCATTTCTACAAAAAGTACAAACAATTAGCTGGGCATGGCGGTGCATGCCTGTAGTCCTAGCTACTGGAGAGGCTGAGGTGAGAGGATCACTTGAGCCCTGGAGATTGAGGCTGCAGTGAGCTGAGATTGTACAATTGCGCTCCAGCCTGGGCAAGAGAGTAAGACAGGGTTATTTTCTAAATAAATAAATACAATTTGAATTATTAACTTCAGATTCAAGAATGGTACTTCAGACGCTAAAAACAAATCTGCTTTTAAAGAAGTACAAACAGCTAAAAGTTTTTTGGATTAAAAACAAAACAAAACAAAACAAAACAAAACAAAACAAAAATCTTTGTGTTTAAGATAACCAGCATTTGGACTTAGTAATTCAGTAAGAGACTGGCTTAAAGTTTTGTCAGTGTCTCTAAGGTGTTTTTATCTTGTGTCAACTTTAAGCTACAGCTGTATTTTCTAGAAATCACTTTACTGAATGGAAGGTGTCCAAAAGAGAAATTTGCATGGGATTAATTAAGAAGGTGGAAGTGGAATAGCAGTTTACTATCTAGGTGGTCCTGAAAGACAGAGATGCCATTGAATTTTAGCATGTCCTCACTGTCCCTCCCTGCGTTCAGCTCTTCTTTCTGATGGCAGCAGCTTCTATAGACTTCTCCAGCTCTCCTTCCTGGTCTCACTTTGCAAGCTAGTTGTGTTTGATTTCCCTTAATTCCTTGAAAGCTCTGACTTGTCACCTACTTGACAACTTCAAGAGAGCTGGTGGTTGTTGACTTTTCTCTGATATTCCAACTCTCACTTTGGGCTCTTCACTTCCCTATATTTTCCCCCGGCTGAGTAGGTCTCATTTATTTAAGTCCCTAACTGTATAATACTCAATGTAATTCTGCTTTTCAGATTGACCTCTATTTGAGGCATAGTTTCTCTCTAAGTAAAATGAAGGTAGCAATTAAAGCAGATATTTTCATACTACAGTCTATGTGGTTTAAGAAGATTGCAATGAGCAACTCAGTGACTCCCACTCTTAGGTGGGAATAAATAGCCAAAAGGTCATACATGCATGCTCTGCTTTTAAGAGAGTCACTATTATTTTACCTATTTTATATGCTTGATTTCTCTTACTGTTTCAAGAGAATCAAGGGATCTATGCCACCTACTCCCATATTTGAAACTACTATACTAGACAATCTGTAATGTCATTTAACTCAAAATTCTTTCGAATTTGGGCCCATTAACTTTAAAATAATGTTTGCAAGTTCCTCTCTCTGTCATGATGGTTTCCAGAGATTTATTCTCTTTACTTTTCTTCATCAAAATATTCTTTCTGGAAAAGCCTGCCTACTTACCCTATGATTTTACCATCTACCTGCTCATTGGTGGCTCTCCAATCTACATTTATAGCCTAAATGGCTCTCCTAAGTTATATATTTTTATTAAAATACCTGCTGGTGACCCATACATATCACATAAACAGCTTAAACTTAGCATGAAAATCACAGAACTAATCATATATTATCATGTTACTCCCAAACATAAATATTATTCCTGTAGATTCTTTTTCAATAATTGAAATTACCATCACTCAGTACCTATATAAACAATAAGCAGCATATTTTCCTGGTCTTTTCCTTCTTCCTTACCTTCGCTCTCCCACATTCAAGTAATCCACTTGGCCCAAAAGTCCTTTATATCCCATCCGTCAACTTTCTCACCCCTCTCCTCTTCATTCTTAATGCTATTACCTTTCTTTCAGATCTAATTTCTTTTACTTTATTTATAAACAGTGCTATTGAGATATAATTCATAGAACATACAAAGCACCCATTTAAATTACACAACTCGGTTTTTTAATCCTTTTTTAAAAATCTAATTACTATCATCCAGATAGCTGGTCTCAGTAATGACATCTACTAGGACAAGGATCTAGGTCATGCTCCTTTAACTTCCTTTAGCATTTTGTGCTTATTTCTAGTAGATAATTTATTGTGCTTGATTTTAATTTCTGGTTCCTGTAATATGTTTTTAAAATAAACTGAAAAGTTATTGAAGTCAGTGGCTGTTAATGGTTAATGGTAAATTAATGGTTAATATTAAGTGTCAACTTAATTGGATTGAAATTTTGTTTCTGGGTGTGTCTGTGAGGATGTTGCCAGAGGAGATTAACATTTGAGTCAGTGGACTGGGAGAGGACCACTAGTGTGGGTGGGCACCATCCAATGGGCTTCCAGCATGGCTAGAAAAAGCAGTCAGAATAAGGTGACGTAAGCTGGCTTGGTGAGTCTTCCGCTTTCATCATTCTCCCATGCTGGTTGCTTCCTGCCCTTCAACATCAGACTCAAGATTCCAGGAGTCTTTGGACTCTTGGACTTACACAAGTGGTTTGCCAGGGGCTCTTGGGCCTCTGGTCACAGACTGAAGGCTGCACTTTCAGCTTCTCTATGTTTGAGGGTTTTGAATTTGCAGTGAGCCACTACTGGCTTCCTTGCTCTTCAGCTTGCAGATGGCCTATCGTGGGACTTCACCTTGTGATCATGTGAGTCAATTTCCTTAATAAACTCCTTTCATATATACATCTATCCTACTAGTTCTGTTGCTCTGGAGAGCTCTAATACAGTGACTGTGTGTTTTATCTCTTCTTTTCTGATACCTCACAGACAGTAAGAAACAAATAATTATGTGTTGAGTGAATGAATGAATGAAAAAGACATTATTGAGTCACCTCAATGTAAGAATATGTAAATCTTTTTTTTTTTCTTCAGGGCTCTATACTCAAATTAAAATAGTGTCTAAGAAAATAAGCACATAAATATTCGATTTATTATTAATATTTGGATAAAATAATTTAATTAATTTAACATGCCCTTATATTGATCTCATCTCTAGAATTATCTACCAAATGCATAGGAATTAGAGACAATATAAATTCAGCTAAGCATAAATAATGACACCAACATTTGATAATAACAAAGTCGGGATAATAGTTTGAATGTTTAAAATTTTGCATGTGGCTATTTTCAGGCAAAGCTGCAAATATTTTTTTGAGTGCTGAATAAATTTCCAGAAGGCAAGAAAGGAGTTCTATTAAGAGAAAATAAATAAATAACATCCAACACCTGAACATTCAGAAATAGCAAGCTCTGAGAAGTTCCTAAATTAGCTGTAGCTAAAGCTTGACAATTGTCTTTTATCAAGACAAAAATAACTGGGCTCCATGGTATCACAGCTGTGAAGGCACCAGCTTGTTAAAGCAGGAGAGATTGACATGTCAAATTACCACCTTCGCCAAAGATTGCACTGGATGTCCATCAAAATGAGACCAACACTTATGTGAGGGGTGAGGAAAGAAGAAGGGAGGTGGAAAAATGCGGAGGGGAAAAAGCAATCAGGCACTTTTATATATTTTTATTTGTTCCTCACTCTATTAAAAAAATCTACAAACAAAGAGCTACTCTAGTTCCTGGTCGTCAATATTAAATTTCAGATCATAAGACTAGCATTTTCCACCTTTAGCTTCTATCTTTAAAATCTCTGATTTAATGTGCTTTGTCCCAGAATATACCTGAATGTAGCTGTGTTCAAGATCACACAGCTGGAATATAGGTTTTCTGTCCCAAATTTAATTCTGTCTTTAATAAACCATGTTTCCTGGGTCATATATATATGTTAAGATTTATATGCTTCTATCTCACATTATTTCACTCTGCAAGCTCTAAATATTAAAACACATGATATTTAAACTATATTACTTTAGCGTATACTACATTACACATTTTAAAGTAGTATATTACTTTATAGAAATTCTGCTTTGTTCATAATTTTCTGGAATGAGTTTTTATATGGTATGTGATGAATGGAGATTTATTTTAATAAATACATAAATAATTCATTCATTTTAATTTAACAAAGATAAACGGTTACCTGTATTTAGCCTACTGATCTGTTTATTTAATAGTTCATGAAGGGTAATATAGGTCATTCTGCAAATTTTGACTGCAAACCTCAATTTTAATTTTACTTTGTTCACCTATTAAAGGCTGAAAGAAATAAAAGACTACGAGCTCAATTTTTGGCTTAATATGGAAAAAGTCCTATCTTCAGCAAACCATTTTGGTGGAAAGGGAAAAAATTAGATTAATCAGGAAAGAAATCTATTTTTTCTTAATTTTGATCAGAATATCTCTGATGCTTAGCACAAAAAAATCAGAAACCTATGTTTTAGTGTTAAATTTTCTTATTCTCTTCATAGAAAAGTTTGCTTATTTAACAAATAATTTAGTTTGTGAGAGGAGTGGTAAGCTTAGAAGCCATTCTATATCTGGTCCTAGTAATTATTACCAATAGATACCCTCTAGAGATGAAATATTTTGAACTTATCATATTTAAACATTGCCAATAAGTCATATTTCTAACAATGCAACAAGCACACGAATAACATTAAGAAGCTTCAAACCTGCAAATACCTTTGTGTTCAATGCCTTTTTTAAAATGTGAAGTTCTTACTATAGTGTATTGAATGTCAAAATTATGCATATTAAGGGCATCAAAGTTGATGGACCTTACCACATCTTGGTAATATTTTAACATGTCAAAGGTATGTTAAAGTACACTCATGATTGTCTTAAAAATAATTTAAGTTGTTCTCTAGTTTTTTAGGAACTAACATAGTAAATGGTATTACCTTCATACTCAAACCTAGAAAAGCAAGATATTTGTGTCTCTTACATTAGCAGTGAAATTCTGAGCTCGAAATGTTTCCCAGCCTTGGCTTTGGGTGTTTTTTTGTTTTTTTGCTTTTTTGTTTTTTTTTCCAAGCTGTATGTAGTGATGGCATCTAAACAAAATTCTTGAGCCAACGTTAACTAAATCAAGGGCAATTTCAATATTTCAGGCTCTCCTTAATCTCAATCGATTGTCATTTAAAATGAAATCTTTTTCTTTCCCTAAGACCTGGAACCAGGTGGAAACTGAGCACCCACATTATTATCCAGGGACACCAGCTGAATTGTCCATATTCTTAACCTCTGCCTTGATATAGAAATTATTTTAGAAATGACATTAGTTCATTGAGTTTGAAATCCATGCTAGGTGCTTCATAAAACTTCAAATTCTTACCACCACCTCAAAAGGTAACTGTTATTAAACTCATTTAATAAATAAGCAAGGTGGAATTTTAAAAATACTGTTCAGGCTGGGTGAGGTGGCTCACGCGTGTAATCCTAGCACTTTGGGAGGCCGAGGCAGGAGGATTGCCTGAGCTCAGGAGTTTGAGACCAGCCTGGACAACATGGTGAAACCTAGTCTCTACTAAAATACAAAAACATTAGCCTGCTGTGGTGGCGGTCACTTGTAGTACTAACTTCATGGGAGGCTGAGGCAGGAGAATTGCTTGACCCCAGGAGGCAGAGGTTGCAGTGAGCTGAGATCCAGCCACTGCACTCCAGCCTGGGTGACAGAGTGAGACACCATCTCCAAAAATAATAATAATAATAATGTTCAAGGTAGCTAACAGAATAGAGCTCAACATAATACCATTGTGTTCTTGTTAATTATTAATGATAATTTAAGTTGATATAATTAATATTAATAGAATAAACATAAATAGAGCTTATCATGGTCTGGCACTGTTTTACATATTAACCTTCTCAAAACTATTCTTGCCACCTCAAAATATGTTCATTTTACAAGAGGAAGCTGAAGAAGAGAGAGTCCAAGTAACTTGTCAGAGCCATGTTTAACAGGTAGGACTAAAACCTAGACATTCTTGACATCGAATCTGTGCTCTTACTACATTACCATGCATCCTTCCACGGATTCTTCCAACTAGAATTCTAGTTCCATCCCAGGGCCAAAGCCTTACTCAAAAGCCTGGCCTCATGGCTAAAAGACAAAGGACTTCCTAACATCCAAGTGTTTGGGCTTTGTCTATTCCACCACCATTCAATTTTGCTTCTCAAAGTAGGGATCCTGAGAATAACTACTGCCTGAATTGCAGTTGTACTTGCCAAACCCTTTAGATTCACCTATCCAGACAACTCAGGAGACAGAATTTTCAAACCTATCAAATGTCTCCAGAACTTCTATCCTTTTCTCTTGAATATCTATGGTACTATGGTGTACATTAACCCTAAAGAGAATCAAGACCAATCCCCTCACTCCTCTCTGGCAGGGCAAAAATACCGAGAGCTAAATATGTTTTCTCTAGTCGTAAGGAAATGAGAAAAAGGAGAGTCTGATTCTGCTTTTGGAAATGTGGTCTGGTCCATCACTTTAGGCTATGATATTACAGTTATAATATCTAATTGGCATATCTTGCCTGTAATTCCGTTTCAGAGGCAGATATTTTGAAAAAGAATTTAAGGCCAGGCATGGTGGCTTACGCCTGTAATCCCAGCACTTTGGGAGCCCAAGGTGGGCAAATCACCTGAGGTCAGGAGTTGGGGAGCAGCCTGGCCAACACAGCAAAACCCCGTCTCTACTAAAAATACAAAAATTAGCCAGGTGTGGTGGTGGACGCCTGTAATTCCAGCTACTCGGGAGGCTGAGGCAGGAGATTCGCTTGAACCTGGGAGGCAGAGGTTGCAGTGAGCAGAGATTATGCCACTGCGCTCCAGCCTGGGCAATAGAGCAAGACTCCATCTCAAAAAAAAAAAAAAAAGAAAAAAAAAAGAATTTATATTTCTGGGTAAGTGTCACTTTCTCTCAACTTTTTTCTACTATTAAAATTTTTCTACTATTTTTTCTACTATTTTACTACTATTAAAACAGTAGAATTTTTTTCTGCTATTAAAAAAGATGAAAATCTTATGCAAAACACAGTGGTCACTCTCCTCCCAACAGCATACATTCTATCAAGCATCAATAACAGAGCATAGTTCCACTTTCTTCAATGCTATGATGTAACAGTGATTAGGTGTGTTAATGCATGAGGTAAGGAGCAAGGTGGACAATTCATCATAGGAATGTGATTGTTCAAACCTTCGTTAAGTCCTGGATTTTAGCCCACATATGGATCTCTACAGCTTTACAATGTAATTTGAAATCAGGAAGTGTGATGTCCTAATGCATGAGGTAAGATGCAAGGTGGGCAATTCATCATCAGAATATGATTGTTCAAACTTTCATAAGTCATAGATTGTACTCCACATTTGGATCTCTATAGTTGTATAACATAATTTGAAATCAGGAAGCGTAATGTTCCCAGTTATGTTATTTTTTAAGAGTACATTGACTATTTGAGGTCTTTTGAGGTTCCAGATAAATTTTAGTATTGTTTTTTCTATTTCTGTGAAAAAAGACATCAGAATTTTGATAAGGATTGCATTAAATCTGTAGATAATTTTGGGTAGTAAGGGCATTTTTGAAACATTAGGGTTAGTGGTCATTTGATGTATAGATAATCTTTATGTACATTTAAAAGCAGAATACTTGTTTTATTCTAGATTATCAACTCCCTGCATACAACGACATTGTTTAATTCACGTCTGTATTTTTGGTACTTAATAATGAGCCACACATAATTGATGTCCAAGGAAACTCGTTGAAGATGAAACTGAAAGAAGAAAAACATGTTTTTCTACTGAAAGGTGCTGTGTAACTTAAGAAGAAAAAACTCAACTGATTATTAAAAGGAAGTACTGGATTTTAAGACAGGAGGAAAAACCTTTTTTTCTGTGATGTCCTAAGTAAAGAGACATTTCCTTATACTATATTTGGTAACACACTAAAGAGAGAATGCTATGCAGACCCATTCTGTCTGTTTATATATTTAGTGTAATGTTTAGTATAATTGTTGGATTTCAGTTTTCATAGGATGAAGAAAGGCATGAAACATTTTTGCTACAAGTTTAGAAACAAGAAAAAATTAACAAAACAAAAAATTATTTTTATAAATTATTGGTTAAAAGTGCTAAACATAACAACACTTTGGAGAACTGAATTCCAAAAAAGAAATATTTCATAAGTGGGGAGACAGGTTTGGAAGGTCTCATGCCCAGGGCAAGCACCTGATCCTGGATGTAAGTAGAGAAGAGCAGAGTTAGAAATAGATGGAGATACTTCCCACGTATGAGAAACAATCCAATGAGTCTAAGAGGAACGTGTGAGCTTTCTATATGGAATAGGATCTTTAGAGCACCAGACATACTAAAAATATTTTCAGCTGGACACTTTTATCTCATGCCTGCTGTGATGGTTAATACTGAGTGTCAACTTGATCGGATTGAAGGATACAAGGTATTGTTCCTGGATGTGTCTGTGAGTGTGTTGCCAAAGGAGATTAACATTTGAGTTGGTGGACTGGGAGAGGCAGACCCACCCTCAATCTGGGTGGGCACCACATAATCAGCTGCCAGTGCAACTAGGATAAAAGTGGGCAGAGGGGCTGGCGCGGTGGCTCACACCTGTAATCCTAGCACTTTGAGAAGCCAAGGCAGGTGGATCACTTGAGGTCAGAAGTTAAAGAGCAGCCTGGTCAACATGGTGAAACCCCATCTCTACTAAAAATAAAAAAAAATAGCCAAGCATGGTGGCGAGTACCTGTAATCCCAGCTACTCAGGAGGTGAAGGTGGAAGAATTGTTTGAACTCAGGAAGGGAAGGTTGCAGTGAGCCAAGATCCTGCCAATACACTCCAGCCTGGTCAACAGATCGAGACTTCCTCTCAATGAAAAAAAAAAAAAAAAAAGCAGACAGAGGAACAGGAAGGACTAGACTAGATGAGTCTTCTGGCCTCCATCTTTCTCCCATGCTGGATACTTCCTGCCCTCAAATATTGGACAGATCTTCAGTTTTGGACTCTTGGACTTACACCAGTGGTTTGCCAGGGGCTCTCAGGCCTTCAGGCACAGGCTGAAGCTTCTCTACTGTCAGCTTCTCTACTTTTGAGATTTGAGATTTTGGGACTCAGACTGGTTTCCTTGCTTCTTAGCTTGCAGACAGCCTATTGTGGGACTTCACCTTATGATCGTGCCAGTCGATACTCCTTAATATATACATCTATCGTATTAGTTCTGTTTTCTAGAGAACCCTGACTAGTACACCTACTGTTGTGGACTGACTGAATTGTGTTCCCCCAGGATTCATATTTTGAAGCCCCCTGTGTGGCTGTACTTGGAGAGTGGTGCCCCAATCCAAGTGCTGTCCTTATAGGAGGAGAAGGATTCACCAGGGATGCACAGCATAAAGAAAAGGCCAGGTGGCTGGGTGCGGTGGCTCACGCCTGTAATCCCAGCACTTTGGGAGGCCAAGGTGGGCAGATGACCTGAGGTCAGGAGTTCGAGACCAGCCTGACCAACGTGGAGAAACCCCGTCTCTACTAAAAATATAAAATTAGCCAGGCATGGTGGCTCATGCCTGTAACCCCACCTACTTAGGAGGCTGAGGCAGGAGAATCACTTGAACCTGGGAGGCGGAGGTTGCAGTGAGCCAACATGGCACCAGTGCACTCCAGCCTGGGCAACAAGAGCAAAACTCCATCTAAAAAAAAAAAAAAGAAGAAGAAGCCAGGTAAGGACAAAGCAATACGACAGCCACCTGTCAGTCAAGCAGACAGGCTTCATGAGAAAATATACACCTATTCTCTCCCCATTCCTGATCTGAATTTTGCTGGAACAGGTCATGACAGTGGGCTAACAAACAAGAAGTTGCATGCAAAATTATAGTGCTTAGGATCTGGTGTCCTTTGAGTGTTTAAAGTGACCAAAAAAGTATTATATTGTAGTTCATAACTCTCTGAGCTCAAATATCATCATTTAGGAGGAGGAGGAGGAAGATGAGGAGGAGGATGAGGAGGGGGAGGGGGAGAAAACTTCTAGTGATCTGGAAGCTTCAGTCTGGTAGGCAACTTTTGAAATGTGTATCATTGTCTTCTTCTCCTAGAATTCAGTTTTGTGTAATTTTCTCCCTTTGTGCACTGAATCTATTGATTTTCTTTGAATAAATAGAATATGCCAAAGTGATGTTACTTCCATGACCAGATTACAAAAGACTATAACGTCTTTCTTGCTAGCACTCTGCCATTTGTTGGCACTCGTTTTTCTTCTCTCTTGCTTGCACTGATGAAGCTTGCAGCCATATTGTGAGGTGCTTTCAAAAAGCCCTTTGTTAGAAGGGACTGAAGGAGGAATCTCACCAACAACTTAGGGGAACTAAGTCTTTACCCCCACAATTAATGAGAAACTAAATCCTGTCAACAACCACGTGAATGAGTAACAAAGCAGATCCTTTCTAGTTAAGTGTTGGCATAGATGAAGACTAGTATGAAACTCAGAGCCAGAGGTGCTAAGCTGCACCTGGACTACTGACCCACAAAGACTCTGAAATTGAAAAAACTATATATTATTGTCTTAAGCTACTTAATGTTGAGTGATAACTTATGTGACAATAGTTAACTAAAGCATGTAGATTAACAAATGAATTTCATCTGAATTCTAGACACATCTCTATGAGGATGGGAGGAGGTGGTGTGTTGAGCTAATTTGCCCAAGTGTTGAACAGAGAAAATGGCTTGCATTCTCTTGAAAATAAGCAATACAAAGCAAGTCAGAAGCAAACTTCTTTCCCCATATATTTTTATGCACAATAAGTGAAATAATCAAAATCAAAACAGTCTATACAAGAAGACACAGCTATCTAATTATTGGAATTAGCTGACCATGAAATTAAAAGTTATAAATATGTTAAATAATTTACAGAAAAATATTAATGTACTTTGTAAAGAGATGGGCAATTTCAGGAGAGAAAAATAAAAATTAAAAAAACCCACAAAATTCTAGTCCTAAGCAATAAAAATATTAAACCAAACAATTGTAATCCAGAGAATTAAATTTAAAAATATTATACTATATAAAACTGAATTATACAATCAAACTAAATTATATATAACTGAAATCCTAAAATGACTAAAAACATAATAACCAAAAGTTTGAAAATATGATAACCAAAGTCTTTTCAAATGTGATGAAACACATTCAAAGAGCTTAGCAAATCCCTGTAGGATAAATATCAAATTAACCACACTAAGGCACATTATAGTAAATTTCAGGTGAAAAAACAAAAACCGAGAAAGAGACAACTTCAAAATCATGAAGGAAAAATAAAACACTTTATTTAAATAAAATCTGAAATCATTCCTCACCTTTGAATTCTAACTTATGTGAATTTATGTGAATTCACATAAATTATGTCTAATTTATATGAATTCCTAAAAGAAATTTCTCAGAGTTAGAGAAATAGTACTTGTTAAAATTTAGATTTACAGGAAGAAATGAAGGGTGCTGGAAGTGGTAAAAATATATGTAAATATGAAAACTAATTTATTTAAAGCATAAGTATTTAAAGTAGTTATCTGTAAAAGTAAATGTCTACAGAAATAAAATATATGGCAAAGTAGGAAAAAAGATGAGGGAGGCAGTAGATTAAAGTACACACACAGTAATAATGCATTTCTATTTTTGTAGATTAATGTAACACTGCTTTAAAGTAAAATGTGATAAATTAAGAAAATATATTGTAATCTTTTAGTTATTTAGGCAAAATAGATGAGAGAGGGAGACAGGGAGGAAGAGAGAGAGACAGAAACAGAGACAGAGAAAGACAGAGGGAGAGAGAATAATAGAAAACAAATGCAAACACGGTAGACTCAAACCCAAACGTATCAATAATATTAAGCTGAAATGGACAAAGTATTCAAATAAAAGGAAGAAGCATACAGAGGATCAGAAATGTTCATAGGAAATAGTATAACAGATGCAGACGTCAAGAGTTCTTTTTAAAAAGGCATTTCCATCATACATAGTTCTATTCTTAAACGTACATTAAGTCAAGTTTTAAAAATTATAAATATCTGTGAATTGCACCAAGCAACCTATATTTATTTATAGAGAGAAACTGCTCTTTAATCCCAAATGTTCCCATGTTACCCTTTGCAGTCACTTCCTCCCATGTGAAAAAAACAACCACTGTTGTGATTTAAATCACCATAGATTAGTTTTTCCTATTTTAGAATTTTAGAAAACAAGAATCATCCAGTATTCATTTACTCAACAACATGTCTGTGAGATGTATGCTTGTTGGCTTGTTGTTTCTTATAAAAATTATATTTTCATTGTGAGTTAGATCAAATTGGTGACAAGCTTAAATCCTTTGAATTTTTTTTTTTTTTTTTATTGAGACAGAGTTTCACTGTTTCACCCAGGCTGGAGTGCAATGGCGCGATCTCAGCTCACTGCAACCTCTGCTTCCTGGGTTCAAGCAATTCTCCTGCCTCAACCTCCTGAGTAGCTGGTATTATGGGCGCCCGCCACCATGCCTGGCTAATTTTGGTATTTTTAGTAGAGACGGGGTTTCACCATCTTGGCCAGGCTGGTCTCGAACTCCTGACCTCAGGTGATCCGCCCACCTCAGCCTCCCAAAGTGTTGGGATTACGGCCATGAGCCAGGGCGCCAGGCCCCCTTTGCATTCTTACTGAATTTTTTTTTCAGTACTTTTTCTAATAATTACTGGGAGAGGGCTGTTGACCTTTTAGAGTAAACTTTGCCATAAATAATTTGTCAATTGTAATGTCGTTTAATGATATGCAAATTAGGAGATAAGGGAGAAAAGTGTGGTAATTGAATTTAAACATTTTGCTTTAAGTTCAGTATAAAGTTTGAGCTATCATTAAGATATAAGTAATGTGAAAATATTGAGTAGGTACCTGGAGGTTTGAAAAAATAAGTTAATGCATATAAAAGAATTAGTATAGCTCTTAGAGGATAGGAATGGCTTAATAATTATGAAGTGCCATATTAACTATAAGGTTTGAAAATTATTCATTTTATTTCTGTCCTTGGTTGTAAAGAATGAGGATCTACGACACTTTTCACTACTATATTGGGGGAAACAAAAGCTCTTGACTTTCAATATTATGCAGTCATATAGGCTTTTAAGCAAACTTAAACATAAAATATATATTAACTGTGGTCACCATGTTATACAATAAATCTTTTGAACATATTCCTTATGTCTAACTAAAATTTTGTATCTTTTCACCAATATCTTCACAACACTCCACTCAACCCATAACCACCCCAGCCGCTGGTGACCACCATTCTACTTTCTACTATAAGATCATATGCCACACATGGGTGAGATCATGTGGTATTTGTCTTCTTAAAAAATGCTAAGAGTGTGGATGGAAAGTGTTATCTCTACAAAAATGATAACCAGATGAAGTAATGTGTATGTGAACTGGCTATAGTCATTCCAATATAGCCAGTTCATATATGCATTACTTTAAAATATCATGTTATATACACTCCTTCCCCACAGGGCACATAAACTGAGACCATTAACTTTCATTACCTCAAAGTTTGCTATTGTACTCCACACTTTTCTCTATACTTATTCCTCCAGTTCTGTTTTTGACTTGGGTGGATTCAATGGCTACATGGCTAGAAAATCTAAAACCACATCTTCTAACAGCTTTAATATTTATTACACTCCATTTCACACACATATTTCTATTGGGAGATGCGGGGACCTGCATGTTATATACACTAAATATGTACAATTTTATCAGTTAATGTAAACAATAGAATACGATTCTTTTTTAAGAAAGAAAACACTCAAATAAGAACTTTTACTTAGAAGTCAAAAAAGAATGATTTTTACCTTTAAGAACATACATTATATTGTTTGGAATTATTAGACATCTTTAAAGAACAATTCCAAAATACATTTTTTCAATATATGTATATATTCTCCAAGCTTTATTATTATATAATATATAATACAAATATTTATTACATTATATTATATATTATAAACTAAGATTTTAGTACTTTTCACAGGGTTAACTTCATACAGAGAATATTTTTTGATGATAAGTATGTTGACTAAGTAGCATTTATTCTTTGAGCTCCATAAAAATTCTACTTTTCTGAAACATTGTGCATCTGCACCCTCTCTCAGCCTAACATGCCTTTTTGTTTTCTTCATGGTATATCTTACGTTTTGTAATTATTTAATTGATTTTGCTATTTACAACAAGTGCCATGATGAGGATTCTCATGAGAAGCATTTCTTTCTAGACAGAGAGAAATATAAATGTCATGTTTTTCAGGAGCAGCATCTCAGGTGATGACAGGTACCAGCATCTCCCAATTATGTGTGTGAAATGGAGTATAATAAATATTAAAGTTGTTAGAAATGTGGTTACAGATTTTCTAGCCATGTAGCCATTGACTCCAACCAAGTCAAAAGCAGAACAGGGGCAGGGGTTGGGTATAGAGAAAAGTGGCGAGTACAATAGCAAACTTTTAGGTAATGAACGTTAATGGTATCAGTTTATGTGCCCTGTGGAGAGGGATTGAAAACATGAGCGTCAGAGAAACATAGCATTTAGAAAAAAATGCCACGTGAATGTTTTAAAAATAATATTAGAAGGTGACAGAATTAGTACAAAAATGTGGGCTTTTTTAGCCAATAGGAGAACAGTGAGGGGCAATAGAATATACTTCTGTAAATGAAGAAAGTTAGTCTTTGACTCTGCCTACCGACCTCCACCTGAATAACATGTCCTGTTCATTTTCCAGATAGGAAAAATCTTCATGTCTTTGTCATTAGTATTTTTTTTTTGCAATTTGTCAGATTCTATAGAAAGAATTTTTTTTATTTCCAAATTCTAAGTGGTAGGGGATATGTAAATATCATTAGAATAAAGAACAGTAGTTATTTTTTATATTCTGGCTTCCTTTTCATGGGTTACCCAAGCAAAAAGTGAAAATAGTATCTCACATAAAAATTATGTTTTTGTGAAAGTTATGAAAAGTATGAAAGATGTGCAATATGTGTCCTTAAAGTGTGATCTTAGAACTAAGTGCACTTGAATCATTGGATTTTTGATGAACAGTTTATATACACAAAATTATTATAACATTTTCATTAACTAAATGCCAGAAATATTCCTATTGATATTTTTCATGTTTAGCAACATAGCCTTTGATTATATCTTCAAAGTTAATACTTTTGTAATATTATTTCCACATTAGAATAAACAGGCAATCCATCCATTTTTCTAGAATGGTTTTAATACATTTTTTTCAGTTCACAAATTTTTATTGGTATTATCCCAAATGTTTAGGATTTTTGTAAAATATGGAAGTATTTCTATCAAGTGCCTTCCATATACAAGCTATAACATTTTATAAAATTTTTAAAATTTGTCTTCATACAATTTAAACCTTATTCTTTCTCCCCTGCTCACATATTTCTGGTCATCAAAGCTATAAGATAAATTGATTTCCTGAAAGAAACTCTAACTCTGAATGCATTATCATCCATGTGAGTCAACAGAATGAAAACTCTTCTTACATCAGTGTGGTGAGCAATATAACTTAGATACACACAGAGGTTCACGCAAATCACACACACAGACACACATAGGCACATACAGTAATGCGCCTATACTAAGAGTACATGGAAACCTAAACTCCACTAATCTTAAACTAAGTGTCCATAGGCATCTCAATTTCCCATGAAGCCACTTCAGCACCATTTAGCAGGAAGGGAATGTGATGAAGGACACATTGGAAGAGCAAAGCTGTCATACTGGATATTGCTTAGAATATTTTAGTTTTTTTAGTTTTATAACAATCTGTTTGCATGTGAAATAGTTGCTTGGGCATCTCTCAGGGCCCTAGAAGATGACAGAAGTGAGGAAATCTGAAACTTCACTTTCAACACCACTTACTGTATGGAAAATGCTGTGGTCAAATTAATCTTTAAAAACATTCTTTCAAAATGAACTTTTACAAGACACAGATAAGGGTGAAAATGGGTGTTGTCAGAGGGGAAGCTCAAGTTCAGAAGGGGAAAGAAACCTCAAGTAAGTAAACCTTGAGCTGAAAATAAGGATGATACTAGACACAAGTTCCATGTCTCTAATCTGAAAATCCAAAGTCTGAACTGCTTTAAATCTGAAACATTTTGGGTGCTGGCACAAAGCTACAAGTGGAAAATTTCACACTTGACCTTGTGTAATGGGTTGCAGTCAAAATGCAGGTATACAACACACAGTTTATTCGGCATCCCTAATGGAAAAAAGACCTTTCCAGCCCCCTTCAGATGTGATATGTATTTTCTGCACATGCCTGGATTCCCCCATGTAAGCATGTCCACAAAGTGTAATAAAGTGGTGCGTGTTGAGGCTGGATGTGCCAATGGCAGGTGTCCCAACTTGCCCCACATAGGGCCAAGACCTACATGCATTACTCACTGGGTGTTTTTCTTATTCTCTGCTCTGTGATGTAAATATATTTTTGTAAATGTAAAAACGGCCAGCAGATACCCCATGGGTAACAGTGGTAAGGAAAAGGAAAGCATGGGCCAGGCACGGTGGCTCATATCTGTAATCCCAGCATTTTGAGGGGCCAAAGCTGATGGATAACCTAAGGTCAGGAGTTCAAGACCAGCCTGGTCAACATGGTGAAATCCCATCTCTACTAAAAATATAAAAATTAGCCAGGTGTGTTGGCCGGTGCCTGTAATCCCAGCTACTCGAGTGGCTGAGGCAGAAGAATCACTTGAACCTGGGAGGCAGAGGTTGCATTGAGCCAAGATTGCCCCATTGCATTCCAGCCTGGGAGACAAGAGCAAAACTCCATCTCAAAAAAAAAAAAAAAAAGAAAAAGAAAAAAGAAGCATGTATGTTTATCTACAGCCCAGGAAGTCCAGCTGTTGAAGAAACTAAACAGCAGTATAAGTGTGAAACATTTCACAGAAGAGTGTGGCATTGGAATGAACACCAAAAATGACCTGCAGAAGTAGCAGAATAAACCATTGAAGATTTATGCTGAAGGTGATGAACAGAAGTTAATTAACAAAAGAGAAAAACACTACATAAAACTAAAAATGAAGATCTCAATTGTGTATTGAAAAAGTGGATCTGTCAGTGTCACAGTGAACACATGCCACTTAATGGTGTGCTGACAATGAAATAAAGATCTAGCATGACGAACTGAAAGTGGAAGGGGACTGTGAATATTCAACAGACTGGTTGCAGAAATTTAAGAAAACACATGGTGTTACATTTTTAAAGATTTGTGTTGACAAAACATCTGCTGATCATGAAGCAGCAGAGAATTTCATCATCGAGTTTGCTACAATGGTGAAAATCTGACAACAGAAGAAGTCTGTAATGCTGATGAACAACCTATTTTAGCATTATTACCCTGGAAGGACACTTACTACAGCTGATAAGCCAGCCAGCAGAAATTAAGGATGTCAAGGACATAATAACTGTGCTGGGATGTACTAATGCAGCGAGGATACATAAGCATAAACATGCTGCGATAGGCAAAAGCTGGTGTCCTCACTGCTTTTAAGCAGTGAATCCTTTACGGGTCCATTATTATGCTAACAAAAGAGGTAGATCACTAGGGACATCTTTTCCGATTGGTTTCACAAACATTTGTAAAAGCAGCTTGTGCTGACTGCAGGAAAGCTGGTTTAGATGATGACTGCAAGATTATTTTTTTATTCCTTGACAACTCTTCTGCTCATTCTTCAGCTAAAATTCTCATCAAAAATAATGTTTACACAATGTACTTTTGCCCAGTGTGACTTTATTAATTCAGGTATGTGACGGAGTATCCTTAAAACGATAAAGAGTAAATTGAAAAGAAAAAACTTTCTTGAACAGCACGCTAGCAGCAGCGAACAGGAGTGTGAGTGTAGAAGGCTTTCTAGAGGAGTTTAGCATGAAGTATGTCATATAGGATGTTGCCAATGCTGGGAACACAGTGAATAAGACGTCAGTGGTGCATGACTGGCACAACATATTCAGTTATAATAATAAACAGGGTGATGATTTTAAAGGATTCTGTTTGTCAAGTGAGAAAAAACATGAGGTCTGACCTCTTTGCATATGCAAAAAAAAATATTCCTTCAGGGCCTGTCACAATGTAAGCTGGAAGAAGTGAATATCAAAAATTTCTTAACATTAATAGTGAGGCTACAGTTGTTCATTCATTGACTGATGGTGAAATAGCCAAAATGATTTTGAATCAAGGTAATCATAAAAATAGTGATGATGAAGATGACATTGTTAACACTGCAGATATGGTGCCTATAGACAGAATTGAGAAAATGTGTGATGGGCTTATTGAAAGACTAGAGCAATAAGCATTCATAACAGAACAAGGAAACGTGAGTTTATAAAACCAAAGAAAGACTTCTAAGAAAAAAATCTTTCATTTACAAGGCCAATGACTCTGGAGGGAACAATTTAGAAAGCCATTCAGTAAAATGCCTTCTCATCCCTAGAGGACCTATTTTCTGGTCCCTCAACTGTTTCTGATGTTTCTTCTCACCTGAAAAAAAAAAGAAAAAGAAAAAAGAAAAAGGAATTGAAATAAGGTGTATGGTTACCTCTTAATCAAAACACAGCATTGCAGGTGGAGATGGAGAAGCTGCCATTGTTTTATTTTTGTTGTTGTTTAACAATTGATATAGATATTCTGGTGGTGCTACTGTGCTGCTTAGTTACCCTGAACACATTTTTTTTCACTGTATTAGTAGTATGTCATATTTTTGCTGTTAAGTACTTGTGTATGCATGCGTGTAAGAAAATGATTGCATACTGTTTGCACATAAATTCAGTCAGGAATGATATTGATGCCAAACAATCACAGATTGTTCACATGGGTGGCTAAGGTAGTGACACCTTTTTTTCCTGATGATCAATGTACATAAACTTTGTTTCATGCACAAAATTATTAAAATATATAAAGTTACCTTTAGGCTATGTGTATAAGGCATATGTGAATCATAAATACATTTTGTGTTTAGACTTGGGTCCTATCCCCAAGATATCTCAGTATGCATAGGCAAATATTCTAAAATCTGAAAAAAATCCCAAATCCAAAACATTTCTGGTTCCAAGCATTTTGGATAGAGGATATTCAACCTGTACAGAGTGCTTTGGACTCACAAAGGAGAAAAAAACTACTTCTAATACAGACAGATACAGTAAACTACAGTTAAATGATGGGTAATGGTGGAAATCTACTAAATTCCCATCAACATCAGCATCAAAAGGGGAAAACTGAGATAATCATTCAGAAAAACACAGTATAACCCAAATTGGAGTTGGTCACGAAGAACAAAGTGATGGCATAAAATTGCATGTGGTTTGACAACTTCTCATGAGATAAAAGTAAGCAGGTGAGATTTCTAATGCAGAGGGAGATGAATTTAGATCTTTTAAAATCCTGTAGGAGACAATGATATTTAATTTATCCTCTCAATTTTTCTTAGAGTGACCAGAAAATAAAAGGTATACTCTTATGCATAGTGCTGCATTCAATTCTGGGTAACAATTTAATAATTGACACATTCTGAGACATTGTGTATAATTACATATTAATAATGGCTGCTAACATTTATAAATGCTTTCTCTAAGTTGGAAAATGTATTGGGATTTTTCATGTATTATTAGATTTAATTCTCCAAATAATCCTATGTGGATGCTAATTACTGTTGAATTTTTAAATGATGGTGATACAAACAGGTTTGTATTTATAAATAATGAGTTTACAAATGATGATACAAAAATGTTATAATAATTTCCTTTGGAAATCAAAAAATACAAGAGCAAATATAAAAAATAATGAAGCACCATTTCAAATCTAGTTTACTTTCGTAAAGTTAGAGTTTCCATGTGCAGCTGATAGAATTAACTTATTTCTAGTCTTAACTAAGACTTTATTTTGGTAATCACATTTGCTCTTCTTTGCTGTAAGGTTTTCATAAAATCAGCTTGCTATCTTACATCTTTTTATGGTACAGGCTCTAGCTCTTATATTTCTTGGCCCAGTTTATAAAATAGAATCCCCGGGAAGCCTGAGTCTACCTCCTTGGGGTCTGTCCAACATCATATGTCACCTGATCTTCCACTAGGATTTCAGTTTATTTTCTTCTGGACATAAAGTTCATCACAATAAGAGAGGAATCATAGTAAAGCTATGAAAAATAAAGCCCTCAAATAATGTGGTTTTGTAGTATGGAGCTGAGAGTAGGAAGATCATTCTTGGAATATTGGCTCAAATGTCACTTTGAATTGGGCTATCTCTGAACACGTGTTATCGGTTTCTGGATAGTCTGAAAATAAATTTTCTCTGTAACTACCTCACTAATCACTTTAACTAGTATATACAATATCTGTTTTATGAATTTCAATTCTTTTTTTATGAATTTAAATTTATGCTTTATCTAGAAAGGCAGATTTGAAATGGTATGAAGTTTAAATCAGTTCTGAAAGAAAATCTTTTATCACATTTTTTAAATAAGAGCTAAAAGGTTAAAATTATATTTTCCTTTTATTTATAAAAACTGAAAAACTTCATAAAATATGAATATATTAAAATCACAAATTCATAGCTTTGATATATTCAATATTCAAATCCTTATAAACATAATTTCAGGAAAGAAGTGTTTTTCTTTTAAAAAACACATGATAATGCAAAATAAAGCAGATATTTTTCAAGAAAGTGTTTGAGAAGGTATTAATTCATTTAAAGAGCAAGTATTAGGCACCTACTATCATGTCAGATAGTATGTCAGCATACTTATTCAGGCTACTTAGTGCATATAGGATAATAATGTGTACAAAATTTCAATTGAAATTCTAATTTAGCTTTGCTTTTGACTTCGTATACACCTCAGACCTGTGTCCTCAACACTTCATGAATTTAAGAGAGGGAACCTCAAGCTAAACTTTATACTTGGCCACAAAATTCATTCAGAGAAACAAGTGGGTCACAAGGATGATCTCTATTTACAGAAGAGAGTATTAGTAGAGATTTCAGTGAATATTTGCTTTCTATTTTTCTTGATGTATCTCAAATTCCAAACTTAATTCTCTTCTACCACATAATAAATAGTTGTAATGCTTGTATTTTGGGCAGACAATTTAATTAAAAATGTAACTTTCACTCCTACACCTTTAAAAATTCAATTTCTCCCATCATGTTACTTGGCAACTAAGTCTAAGCACTTTTATGACTCAATACCCTTTATCTAGTAATTCCATATATACTTTGTTCTTTTTTCCAATGTGTAATAAACATACCCCCTTTCTCTCTACTTACATAAAGTTTAATTTGTGTTACTTTTTGCATCTCCACAAGTGTTGGTTTTCCCTCAAAGCATATAGTTTTATTGAGATGCATTATTTAAGTAATATCTTCTGACAAATGAGGTCGTGTGTGCGTGTGCATGCATATGTGTGTGTGTGTGTGTGTACGTGCATGCATGCACTCATGTACATACTCTTAGAAATGTCTGAAAATTGAGGAGTTGTTGAAAAAGAGCCTCAGTTAGTCCAAACTCAATGAACAATTGGTTTGGCCAATAATTAGGGGATGAAATGTATTTTCTTGAGAATAAGTTGTTGTTTTTTTCCCCAATTGAGTAATTAATTGTTGCAAAACCTGAAAGCTCACAGAAAATGATTAATCTATCTTCAGTTTGAACCAGGTGGATTTATGGTATAAAGCACTCTGCTAAGAGAAAATGGAAGATTATATTTTGTTCTTTGTTTCTCATTTAATACTTTTTCTTAAACTTATTACATTTACTTGGTTATTTCTATTTTGTGACGAGCTATGGTATAAACACTGCATAAAACTACAAAGCTTAGTCTTTCAAATTCGCTTGTAATGTTAACTTTTTCTATGTGGGAATTATTTATTCTTATGAGTTGCATTGTAATTGTTAGTGTCAAACAGAAAGTAACATAAGAAGGAATATAATAAATTATTTTTATATTATGACACAAAGATGATGAATAAACTCTATAAAAATACATATGCTGAAACTTTCTGATTAATATGTTCAATGGCAGCTCTCTCTCTCTCTCTGTCACACATAAACGTACACACACATCCACATACAAGCACAGACATTTATCTGTGTCAATCTTATAAGCATTACTCAACATCTTTGAGCTTCAATTTTTCTCATTTATGAATGGAAAAACATATATAAGAAATTTATAAACACCATAAAATAAATCTAAAAAATTAGTAATTCTCTGAAAAAAGAACACCCAGGTAAAACAATACATTCTACAGATAATGACCATAGCAATTATCTCTATGACAGCTGATTGTTAAGTTGCTTTGTACATAGATAGCAACATTAATATTATGTATATTGACTACTCAAGGCCATTCCTTTGCAAAATTATGTATGACAAATTCTCATACAATTGGAACAAGATCAATGAAATGAAAATAAAAATAGTTTGTTATTTCCTTTTATTTAATAAATGGTAAAATAAATATTATATGTGCTAGAAATCCAAGCAGAAAATTATGATTCTAAGATACTGAGATTCTAGGATCCATAATATTGTTTCTTAGAACTGACATAATTAAGAATAGGTCTTAAATGATATCCAACCACACTTTAGATATATTTCTACAACAACAGCTACACTACTACAGTTATTACTATTCCTAAATTTAATACTTGATATTTACATGACATTGTACTAGCTGCCTTACTTACATTGCTTAATTTTATCCCATAGTACTTTTTATAATTCCTTCTGTTACAAAGATGAAGAAATGGAAGCAAAGGACTTTGAAGCGAATTACCCCAAGTCACCAAGCAATAATACTGGAGTAATGACATCCTGAGAGACGAAATTTTTTTGGGGCTTTTTTTTTTTTTTTTTGAGATGGAGTTTCACTCTTGCTGCTCAAGCTAGAGTGCAATGGTGTAATCTCGGCTCACTGCAACCTCCACCTCCTGGGTTAAAGTGATTCTCCTGCCTCAGCCTCCCGAGTAGCTGAGATTACAGGCATGCACCACCATGCCTGGCTAATTTTGTATTTTTTTAGTAGAGATGGGGTTTCTCCGTGTTGGTCAGGCTGGTCTCAAACTCCCGAGCTCGGGTGATCTGCCCACCTTGGCCCTGCAAAGTGCTGGGATTACAGGTGTGAGCCACTGCGCCCAGCCTACTAAATATTAATGAATATGGTCCAGTACCACATTTTGGTAGAAATGTGTGCCTTTAATAGCAACAATAACAACAATAGAAATAGATATATGTATTTAAAAATTGTTTTTGTTTTCTATTCCTGAGATAACAAATGACCATGATAGACATACTTCATATGGAAAATTATAGGATTCATTGTGGTGAATCCCACGTCAGTTATTTAAAGGTCTTCAGTATATAAAATCAATTCTTTTGGCTGGGTGTGGTGGTTCATGCCTGTCATCTCAGCACTTTGAAAGGCTAAGGCAGCAGGATTGTTTGAGGCAAGGAATTTGAGACTAGCCTGGGAAAAATAACAAGGCTATGTCTCTACAAAAAATAATAATATTAATATAAAAATTAGCAGGGCATTGTGGTGCATGCCCATAGTCCCAGGTACACTGAAGGCTGAGACGGAGGTTTGCTTGAGTCAGGAGGTCGAGGCTGCAATAAGTCATGATTTCATGATTACATCACGGTACTCCAGCCTTGGTGACAGAGTGAGACCTTGTTTCAATAAAATAAAATAAACAATTTTTTAAGGCTTAAATTATTTTTTGAAAAATCTTTCAATCTAATATTTAATGGTAGAATTTGGGTGATGCTGGCAACTTAGAATGGAAGTAAAGATAGCATTGCTATTCAAACCCCCTGTGTTTTGGAAAAACATGAGAAGCGGATTCTTTATTTACATAGATGTAATATGATAAATACACAGCCATTTTTTGAAAAACAGAAAACTCTAATGTCCTTGAATCTGAAAATGGTCTTGGATATTATGTTTTCTTTAGTAGTAAAAACTGCAGCCAGTCTTTAGATAGACTTATCCTTGAGAAAGGAAGATAAATAATTTCATACAAAAGAGATTGGTTTACTGGAATGCTGGTGACTACAAAGTGGGAGTGATTCAGATTAAATATCTAAAGCTTTGAGGAGCTTTCTGACCTTTACTGATTGCATTATATAATTTGCCTTCAGCTGTTAGGGAGTTGAAAGTGACCTGGAGGAAGTTAGCTGTTTTGTGAATCCCTGAGTACAACCTGTGTCACGCACTTGAGCATGAAGTATGGCTGCAGAGACCAAGCTACAGCATAGGAGAATTCCAGGAGTGATCCAGACTTTCAGGCAATGGAATCAAGACTGATTCATTTCAACTAAGTGAGCAACCTGAATGTCCTTGGTCATATCCAAAAAAAAAAAAAAAAAAAAAAAAGAAAAGGAATTCCTAGGAAAATAATGAGCTAATTTGCAGGGTGGGGACTTCTATGAAAGGAGATGCAACTTCAATTTTTTTTTTTTTTTTTTTGAGATGGAGTCTCGCTCTATCACCCAGGCTGGAGTACAGTGGCGTGATCTCAGCTCACTGCAGCCTCTGCCTCCCAGGTTCAAGCAATTCTCCTGCCTCAGCCTCCAGAGTACCTGGGACTAGAGGTGCACACCGCCACACCCAGCTATTTTTGTATTTTTAGTAGAGACGGGGTTTCAGCATGTTGGCCAGGGTGGTCTTGATCTCCTGACCTCGTGATCCTCCTGCCTCGGCTTCCCAAAGTGCTGGAGCAAAACTACTGAAGCAGGTCATACCAACTCCAGCCTTCAAAATTAAACGGATGGGCCTTCATCCATTGTCCTGTTTAAATTCTGATTATCAGAGACAGATAAACATTCTTCAGAATCATTCTGAATTTTAGAAAAATGTATCATTGTTTAATGAAACACATTTAAAGAAAAACAGAAGGAGATAATATTATTGGCAAAATATTCTAGAGAGCAGAAAATACCAGGCTAGTTTTTTTCAAACTACTCAGGCTGGGGACTTTCCATATTGCTTAATGTATAAGAGGGTAAGCTCTGGAATCAGACTGCCTGGGATAGCATTTTGAAACTTTTAATTGCCAAGTTACTTAGACAAGCCACTCACCCTCTCTTCCATTTAGTTTTATTTATCTGTAATTTTGAAGAATGTAATAGTAGCAATCTTATAGGGTTATTGTCAGATTTAGTTTAATTAAGGCACATAAAGGGCTTAGTTCTGCACACAGTAGATGATCAATAATATTAGCAAGCATATGTTGACCCTCATTCAGTCATCTGTAGAGAAATGCTTATGTTCAACAAATCCTAAAACCCCTCATGCTTCAATCCCACTACTTTTAGTCTTTTTGTTATTGATAAAATACATGAATGGGGCAACTATGGTATGATATTATGTTTTTAATTATGGTCAAGGAAAAAAAATGCCTGGTCTCATCTCTGGCCCTAAGGAAGAAAAGCATAATTATACAACATCAGATAACAGATGTTATAAAGTCTGACCATCAACACACAGCCTTTGACTTTATCAGCTTTTCTCCAAAAATTCTGACATTGCTTTTACAATATATCATACAAATTAAGCATCACATTAAACCCATATCAGAACATTCCGTATTTATATCTTTTTTCTCTTTTACAAATTTACTGTAACTCTGATACCAAAATATGACAGCATACAGAAAATAATCAATAAAGAAGAAACAGCAAACATATTTTTCATAGCGTGACACCCTGCAGCTGATTGGTTGTAACTGCTTGGTTGTAACTGCTTAGACTGCTGTGTGGACAAAGATTCCAAGAATGTACTTTGGCTCCATGGGAAGGACTGATCCAATCTATTGGTGGTATCTGTAAATATAGGGAATAAACCTGAAATCTCGCTAGCCATAGGTGAAGCCACAAGCACCAAGGCTGGTGGCTCCACTGCCAAAGCCAGTACTGGTGCCCAGTTCACCACCAAACCTAACACCAGTGCTCAGTCCACCACGGAAGCCTGGTGCTTGGTTCACTGCAGAAGCTAGGACCACTGCTTGGTCCACCACCAAGGCCAACAATAGAACAAGATCCACTATTGAAGCTGTTGCTGGAGCTGGGTTTGCCAGTTGGGATGACTGCCACAACCAATGATGGTACTCAGTCCTCTGTCAAAGCTGACATTAGGCCCACTGCCAAAGCTGACATTAGGCCCACTGCCAAAGCTATCGCTGGTGCTGATGTCATCACTAAAGCCAGCATCAGTGCCAAATTTGCTGCCAAAATCAGCATTGGTGAATTTTGTAAACAGGCAACCAGAATTCAGAATTATGAAAGAGGGCTCAAAAGCACTAAAAGAAGACTCAAAGAGTTAAAACTCAAAGAGCAAAACTGTACATGTGAAACTTTACTTCTGGGCACTTTTTTTCTGACCAGTTGGTCTATGTGACTGTTTTTGTAACATTACCAGGCTGTTTTGGTTACTGTAGCCTTGTAGTATCGTTTGAAGTCTGTAGTGTGATGCCTCCGGCTTTGTTCTTTGTGCTTAGGATTGTTTAAGTGATTTGGGCTCTTTTTTGTTTCCATAGGATTTTTTTTTTCTAATTCTGTGAAAAATGACATTGCTATTTCAGTAGAAATAGCATTGAATCTGTAAACTGCTTTGGGAAGTATAACCATTTAAGGACATTAATTCTTTCAGTCCATAAGTATGAAATGTTTTTCCACTTATTTGTGACATCTCTGATTTATCTCAGCAGTGTTTTGTAGTTCTCCTTGTGGAGCTCTTTCATCCCATTGGTTAGCTATATTTCTAGGTATTTCAGGGCTTTTGTGTGGTGATTACAAATCTAGTTTAAAAGTAAGATCTCAAACTGTAACAATCCTAGAAGAAAACCTAGGAAATACCTTTCTCAACATGACATCATAGTTGGCATAGAATTGTTGGCTAAGTTCCTAAAAGCAATGGCAACAAAAACAAAAATTTACAGGTGGGACCTAATTAAACTAAAGAGCTTCTGCACAGCAAAATAAACTATCAACAGAGCAAACAGACAAGCTCTGGAATGTGACAAAATATTTGGAAACTATATATCTAACAAAGGTCTAATATCCAGAATCTATAAAAACAAACAAAATCAGTCAACAACAAAAAACCAAATAATCCCATTTAAAAAATGAGTGAATAACATGGACACTTCTCAAAAGAAGACATACCAGTGGTGAATAAATATATAAAAAATGCTCATCATCACTAATCATGAGAGAGATGAAAATCAAAATCACAATAAGATACCTTCTCACACCAGTCAGAATGGCCATTATTACTAACAGGTGTTGGCAAGGCTGTAGCGAAAAGGAAATGCATATACACTGTTGGTGAGAATGTAAATTAGTTCGGCCATTGTGGAAAGCAGTTTGGAGATTTCTCAAAGGAGTTAAAACAGAGCCACCATTCGACCCAGCAATCCCATTACCGGGTGTATAACCAAAAGAAAATAAATTGTTCTACCAAGAAGACACATGCACACATATGTTCATCACAGTGCTATTCACAATAGCAAAGAAATGGAATCAACCTAGGCACCCATCAGCAGTGGATTGCATTAAGAAAATGTGGCACATATATACCACGCAATAACATGCAACCTTAAAAAGAATGAAGTCATGTCCTTTTCAGCAACATAGATGCAGCTGGAGGCCATGATCTTAAATGAATTAAGAGAAATAGAAAACAAACCACTGCATGTTCTCACTTATAAACGGGAGCAAAACATTGAGTACACATGGACATAAAGATGAGAACAACTGACACTGGGGACAACTGAAAGGAGCAGGGAAGGACAAGAGCATGGGTTGAGAAAGTACCTATTGGGTACCATGCTTACTACCTGGGTGACAGGATTCATACTCCAAACCTCAGCGTCATGAAACAAACCTGCACATGTACTCCCTATCTCTAAAATAAAAGTTGGTTTAAAAAAAAAAAACTAACCTATAAACCAACAAAAAATAGCTAAAACTTTTTGATAAGTCTGCCAAGTCTCTAGAAGTCCTAACACAACTTGCTAAAAATATATATATAATATATACGGATATTATGTATATAATATATATATGGATATTATATATATATAATATATGTATACATAACTATATATAACTTTCAGGAAGTTAACTGCAAGAAGAACTGCCTAAAAATATACATTTTAAGTTGCCTGGCTCAGGCTCAGACCCTGAAACCCTAAAGCCTAAACCTTTTTTCTGGAAAAAGAAGTGTCATTTCTAATATCATCATAGTCCTTGGGTATAACACAATTTTTCTATCTCGGACTTGGTATCTGCACCACTAGAATATGGACAGAAATGTTATGGCAAGCAGTGAAAATGTGTTAATCTGTTAAGTATAGAAACAGTTCGGAAATAAAAACCGAGCGTTTCAGAGGTGATCCTCCAATGTCTGGAGAAGACGCCTTCTAATATGACTGAAACAGCCTGCTGATATATTGAAAATGTGGCAGGCAACAAGTAACAAAAAGGAATAACTTGTTCTAAAACGTAAAGTCGTTTGCATTTTGAGGACTAAGTGCTTTACAAGTCCAAGAGTTTAGAGACACACTGGAATTTGAGAGTGTCACAAAGACAAACCACACACATATTTAAGTCACTGCTCACTGGGAAAAGAGCTTGGTTATGTACTATGTATGGTATAGAATAGTTGTAATAGTTGCTAACGTACCAGTGGATCAGGGAATGATCACAGAGCTGCCTTCAACATATAGGGACAAGGATACTAAGTGGGGCACTTTGAGTGATGTCAATGGATATTTGCTTTGCAGTTCCAAAGAAAATACACTACATCAATGAGAAGTGGAAACCTTAAGTCACCAGAATGACAGAGGATTGGAGGATCAGGTCTTTGTGTATTGACAAAAATGTGGAATCAGCCAAAAATGGAAGAATCTAAACTCTAACCCTATAAGATTAGTGGGGAAATGGTGGGGATAGATGTGGATGGTTCCTCACAAGGCCCAAAAAGGACAAGAACTAGGAAAAGGGATAATTAAGCAGCACAAAAAAGTCTTCCTAAAGTATCATAGATGTTAAAGTGTGGATACATGCAAAAGAAATATCATCAAGATGACCTAAGGTATTTGTAATATCAAAATTATTAAGAATGTTTTATAAAATAGCACAGAAGTTTGATCCTAAAAATCCCTGACTCTCATTATAACAGAATCAGGGTAGATAAAGGGAAGCACCTAAAACACATGATTTAATCACTGGCTGTACTAGGTTTGATATGGGGGAATAAAAGGAGGTAGGTTTGCTATTCTTTAGTACATTTTACCATACATCACAAGTGCACAGTGGTTTATATACATTTATAATAGGTACCAAAGCTATCTCCTAATAAAATATGTTGACCAAGACTATATTGTATAGGTTCAAAAGTTTGCCGGTATAATAGTTATATGATGTTGAAGCTGGAATTACCTGTATGGTATAACTGTGTGACAATAATTATAGAGAAACATTAGTTGCAGTAGTAGTTCAGTGCCCTGAAATCAAAGCATTCTAGAAGTGAGCACATTGAGAGAGAGTAATCCAAACTAGTTTAGACAATGACTGTTAGTATTGCAGATGGCATAGAGCAATAGCACCTGTGGGTTTTTTTTTTTTCATGAGTTACACTTGCTGCAGTAACTTTTTATATCACTATTGAGGCTGTCCAATCCCAAAATGGAAGCATTTTCTCTTAAGGGTGGAAGGAGGAACTGGAAAAAAGTAACTGCAGGACTCAAACATTTAGGCTATGATCTAGAACCCTAAAATCTCTGAGAATGTTTCATAAGACAGCTTAAATTGACACCAATTATTTGCATACCAGAGCACCATATATTTCTAACTCTTTTTGTTAATACAGAAAAAATTATAGAAAAGCATGAATGTATATGGTTTATTGAATAAGATCTGATGCCATAAAATATACCAATACACTGAGCTCCATGTTTCAAATGCTCTAGTCTACCTACTAAGTAGTCAATGGATGTCAATACTATATTCAAGAGGTAAGCATTATCACATATGTATAGTTGAAGAAGATGAAGTAAGGACAAATTTAATCTGCCCATTAAGGTGCATTCATTTGAAAGATTGTTTCATGGGATCTTGGGAGGGAAATTTTTGAAAGTTAACTTGAGGTAGATAAAAGAAATCTAGAATATTATTATTATGTTATTGTTAAAACTTTTTATTTATCATTTTTTATTTTAAATTATAAAACTGGATTTGGCAGATTTTAGGAAACTTTAGCAAAGCCTCCTTAAGGATGTCTCCTGACAGATGTAATTCTGTATATATTTTTCGAAGCTAGGTAAAGCATGTCAAAACAACAGGTGAGTTTAATCCTGTAAAATATTTTCATATTTCCCTATTCCAGTATGTTAGAGAGAAAATTCTATGACTTCTGGGTGTGATAACAACAATAAATTCATAAAACAGTATTATTCAGGATGTTCAGAGAGGAATTGTAAAAAGAGACCCTAGAAGGTGCAGGAATTGCAGCAATAGAGTTCAGAAAAATCTTAAAAGGACAAAACCCTCAGCTAGGAAATACTTGATAAACGGCTCCAAGTTGACAGATAAGAGGGCATTTCAGAGGTAGGAACTGCTTAATCATATATGTCAATAAATTTTCATGAGGCTAATCTAGCCTTTCCTTTTCTGATTTTCTAAAATTTCTTCAGAATTTTCTTGCTTTCCATTTGGTGATAGATCAATATACATTTTCAATATTTCTGTTCAGCCTTCTACTTCTTCCTTTTCTTCTCACTTTCCATTCAGATAAGTTTTCTTACTGAAGAGCATGCATTATTTTTTTTCCTGATTCTCCTGTAAATTTAATGGGGGAGTGACCTATTTTACAACTTAAAAGCTCCCATATTCTGTATTCTAGATGCAATGTTTGTGGGGCTTCTTCGAAAAAAAAAAGGCACTGATTTGGTTACAGTGTGCTCTCTGAAATAAAAGTGGTGTCTTAGAGAGTGGCAGACTCATACTGTGCTGACAAAAGCTCTTTGATCCAAAACAAACTGATGCACTGCTTTGGACCCTAGGGAATAATGACACTATTTCGCCTAAGATACAGAACCAATAAAAAATAGCTTCCTACAAGAATAATCCTTGGATATATGTAAGACAATATCCTTTGTTGAGAACTCAACAAATAAAACTGGTTTTAAAATAATTAGAAAAACAAGAAATAATTAGAAAAAGTGGGGCATTTACCCTATAATAGTCCTATATGTCCAGTAAAGATGGAAGACAAATTTGATCTTATCTGACAGTATTGATCTGAGATACTAAGTTTTTAAGGTCAAATATCATATGTTCTCACTCCATATTTGGGAGTTAAAAAAGTGGATCTCATGGAAGCAGACAGTAGAATAGTGGTTGCCAAAGGCTGGGATGTGAAGGCAGGAGAAGGGAGTGAAGAGAATTTGATTACATGATACAGTAATATGGTTGGATAGAAGGAATAAGTTCTAGTATTTGATAGTACAGTAGGGAAATTATAATTAACAATAATTTATTTCAAAATAGCTAATTTTCCCTTAGCTATTTGAAATAAGATATTTCAAAATAGCTAAAGAAAAAGAATTATAATGTTCCCTACACAAAGAAAAGTATTTGAGGTTATGGATATCCCAAATACCCTGATTTGATCATTATATATTGTATACAGGTATCAAAGTATCATATGTACCCCCAAAATTTGTACAACTGTTATATGTAAATAAAAAATATAAGATTTTAATTTGGCCATTCAATTTGAGCAAATATGAATGTAGTTTATAAATAATATAATAATAATGCTATATAATAGTATACATATTATTGAAATTTATAATTAATAGTGCATTTTTATAGATATAAACTCAATATTTCCCAAAATGTGGTCCAATTATATTGGAGTTCAGAATCGAATGTAAATGGAAAATACAGATACCTTACCAGCTCTTGTAGAATTACAAAGTACTCCAAGATACTAAATTTCTAATAAATCTTTGCGACTTTTTAACTTTGACTTTCTCTAGTATTTCCAAATGTGTTTCGCTACAGTAATCTCTATGGTGTCTGTATTAGTGTGTTCTCACACTGCTAATAAACTGCTAATAAAGACATACCCGAGGCTAATAATAAAAAAAAAAAAAGAGGTTTAATGGACTCAGTTCCACATGGCTGGGGAAGCCTCACAATCATGGCATAAGATGAAGGAAGAACAAAGGACGTCTTACATGGCAGCAGGCACAGGGATTCCCCTTTATAAAATGATCAGATCTCATGAGACTTATTCACTATCACAAGAACAGCACAGGAAAAAACCCACCCCCATGATTCAGTTACCTCCCACCGGGTCCCTTCCATGACCTGCGGAGAATATTACAATTCAAGGTGAGATTTGGGTGGGGACACAGAACCAAACTGTATCAGTATCTGTAATTGATGTATGTGTGTTTGTGCGTGTATTTGCACACATGTGCTATGTGTGAGACCAATCAATATCTCACTGGACACTTCTATTTCTTGCAGAAAAGTTTGGAGTACACTAAGTCAACATATAGTGTCTAAATCCTCCTAGTCATCTGGTGCTGGAAGTATTATTGGTCATTAAATGTGTTAGATTTTGGCCATGATAGGGTATTAAATTAGTGGTTCTTGAACTTTTGTAAAATGGCAGATAGTGATAATCACCTGAATAACTTAAAAACAGGCAAGAATACTGAATTTCTATTTTTTCTCAGAAAGTCTGATTGAGTAGCTCTATTGATTTTAAATAATTCTTTAGTTATTAGAAGTCTCCCAATGACTCTGATGATAAGTTACATTGGTGAATACCTGAATAACTAATATTCTTATACTGTACTAGTGTTATATAATTCAGATGTTTGGAAGGACACTTAGACTATAATTTTATGATAGTATGAAATCTGTAATATTCATGTAATTATCCTGGCAAATAATGTCAGGCACATGCAATTAAAATTTCTGAACTCAGGTCATGGATAATTTTGTTGATTTAGAGATTGTTGAGAAACTTTTTAATGTTCTTATGTGAAAGAAAATTGTTAAGATATAAACACAGTCCTTTGGTCTGAATGACTCTGCAACACGCCTCCCTCCCCCACCCCCACCCAGCCAAATTAATATGTTAAAAACCTAACCACAAATGTGATGGTATTAGAAGGTAGACATTTTTGGAGGTGATTTAGTTATGAGAATATGATTAGTGCCCTTAGTAAAGAGGTCCTAGAGAACAGCCTTGCTCCTTCCACCATGTGAGATCACAGCTGGAAGTTGTGGTCTATGAACCAGAATGTGGGGCCCTCACCAGACACTACATGTGCAGGTACCTTGATCCTTCACTTCCTCACCTCCATGACTGTAAGAAATAAATTTCTGTTGCTTATAAGCTACCCAGTTTATGGTATTTTGTTATGGTAGCCTGCGTGGACTAAGATACAGAGGATGGAGAAAAAACTGTTACATCAGCTACTGATAGAGCCATTGGAAGACAAGACTTCAGTTGATGGCTAAGTGCTGTTTTTAATACTTCATCACTAAATTACACATAATTATGCACATATGCTAACAGCTAGATCAATTACAGGATTCACTCTAAAAGGTCAGAGTATTATAGTGCATAGCAGAAGGGAAACTTAAACACGTAAGTCTGCATGTTGGCACATCCCAAAGTGAATACAAGAAGGGATAAAACTGAACATGTTCATTACTAGTTTCCTTTCCCAAGTTCACCCACTATATTGGATATATTGGAAAGTCACCTTTCCATGTATAAGGAGAAATAAGTAAAGAACAGAAAGAGAAGAAAAGAATACTAATTTCTATTAGAAAGCTTCTTGCTGTGAAAACATAAGCACAGATGACAAAATGGCTTCAGAAAAAAAAATAGTGAGTTACAAAGCCAAACTCAATTCTGGCTTTCTGGTTTCCAGACAAGTATTTCCAGGATGCTTTCTTTCAAAAACAAATATGGCATAGACGTTTATGAAATTTGCAGTTTAATTCCTTGAATTCTTATCATCTAGTTCATTTATTCGATAATTTTCATTAGACTTCGACTTTCTGTCAGAATATGTGTTAAGGGAGGAAAAAAGAAGAGTGAATATGACTCATTATAGCCCATAATCTTGAGTCACAAAGTAAATAACCATAGCATGCTATAATAAATACAAGGATTGAAATACCTGGATTGTTATTTAGAGAGAAGAATGAGGATGAACATAACCCAACTGAACATAACCCAATCCAATAAAGAAAATGTATTGCCTCATATAACCTTAAAATCCAGTGTAGGAGCCTCTAGAGGCTAATATATTGTTATCAAGTCAGGTATGATAGCAAGAGCTAGAGCAAGTTTTTGAGATCATGGGTGACACATTAAAGACAGAATATCAAAAAGGTAGCCTGAACTCTAGACATGTGAAGCTATTATACCAGCCTAGACTACTTGTGCTTGAAATGCTATATGATGGAAATAATATTATTCCTTTATTTAGTGTATCCACACTGTATATACTACTTGCCTTTAGTCATTTAGTAACCATCTCAGTTTTTGGATTGACTTGTCACAGTATAATAATGCTTGTCTTCAAGAGACCTTTATTTTACTTAATAATAGCCCCAGAGTGCAAGAGTAGCGATGCTGGCATATTGTTATAAGTGTTATATTCTATCATTAGTTATTGTTGTTAATTTCTTAATGCATAATTTATAAATTAAATCTTATCATAGAAACATATGGATAGGGAATACATAGTATATATAGGTTTAGGTGCTATCTATCGGTTCAGGTGTCATCCCCTGGGGGTTTTGGAATGCGTCCTTCTCTGCAGTGGTGATATCAAAGGCAACTTAGACAACATTGATCCAAAAACACTTAATTAATTATTTAAACTTGCTATGACAACCACAGAAGGAAATGAAACTTACTTGCAGTAAATAAGAATTTTCCCAAAGTTCAGGCTGTTCAATCTTTTTTATCTACGGTATGAGATATTCTATTATGAACTCTTTTGTTCATCATGCAGTTTCATTCTAGATACTCCTTTCTAACATTCTCTAACCAAAGTTAGTTCCCTCCTCTCTAATAATTAACTCAATTTAAGGTAACTCTTTTATTATCATATCACTATTGTGAATGGCAGACTCACAGCACTACCAAAACTACAAAGATGTTGGCCTAGTATATCCCAGTCTTCCTTTTTGAAAAATCTACGTTTGCTTTTGACCCACATGACTTTAATTGTCCCCAAAATAATAATGATTTGCAGCCTTCTATTGATATCTTGCTTCTGTTCTGTTTTGCTCAACTTTCCTTATTCCCTTAAACTGGCTGAACACATGCTTTCTACTGAACAAACACTACGTTTTCTTCCTCCAGATTAACCACATTCTCCCTCTCCTTGTTGAAATTAATGCTTACCAACACTTATCTATCATATGACTTTCTAAATTGTTTATCTCTGCTGAAAAGGATCCTATAACTTGAAAAGATTAACTTTTATTTTTCCTTTCTGAATATTGCTTCCCATAAATTTTTTATCGATCAACTTTTCCAGAATCAATCACAATATTTAATGTGCCTGTAGTGTATTTCTCACAACCAGGTGTTGAATAAATTCTTTTGAATCAATTTATTTATATGCTCCTCTTTCTTCCCTTTAACCCCTATACATATAGCTTTTGAAATCTAAAAAAATATACAAAGGTGGTTTTTCATCATTGTAGGAAAATATTACAACCCCAAATCACATTGGCAACTCCATTATTCATGCAAAGGGAAAGGACTAGCAAGAACATGTGGTCAAAATAAACAAAAATAATCTGTATAATTATTTATACTAGCAAAATTTTTAAAAATGAAAATGTAAACTTGGAATTTGGGTTATAATTTTGATATTGATTAAATTTTCCAAAGCCACTCAATTTAGTTAGATCCTCTGAGTGGTAAGGTGTTTGTGCATTTGTTGCTGTTTTTCATAAATCTGAATAATCAGACAATTATCTGAAGAATATGAAAACAAGACATAGCAAGCTATAGCATATCAGGTTAGAATTAGTTGACTTACAACGTCGCTGAATATATACATTCCATTTATTTCAAACACCATGAAAAAGAATTGGATTTGGAGTCAGAGAGAATTGGGTTTAAATAAGGCTTTGTCTCTTATTGGCTGTATCAGTTGAAGATACATTTAGCTTCAAGTTATAGAGAACCCAATTTAAAGTAGTGTAAATTGAATAAAGTAACTTTTTTCACATTTAATATGACATTAAACAATAGGGAGTATAGACTGTGATTATCTTGGTTCTTCCTTTAGGCTGGCTTCACTCATGTTTTAGTTGGTTCTCATGCTGCTAATAAAGACATACCCAAGACTGGGTAATTTATAAAGGAAAGAGGTTTAATTGACTCAGTTCAGCATGGCTCAGGAAGCCTCAGGACACTTACAATCATGGCAGAAGGGAAAATAATCACATTCTTCTTCACATGGCTGCAGGAAGGAGAAGTGCTGGGCAAAGGTGGAAAAGCCCCTTATAAAACTATCAGATCTCATGATAACTCACTCACTATCACAAGAACATCATGGAGTAACCAACCCCATGATTCAATTACCTCGCACCTGGTCCCTCCCATGACACATGGGGATTATGGGAACTACAATTCGAGATGAGATTTCAGTGGGGACACAGCAAAACCATATCAACTCATGACTGTTCCCTCTTCACTTTTAGTGGAGGAGAGACAACTATTCATTTAAGCAGAGAATACAAATGCTTTTCTTTAATCTCACTGAGCTAACATAGACTATGTGCCAATTTGTAGACCAGTAATAATCACCAGGAAATGCCATATGTTGATTGCTTAAAGCCAAGACTTCCATACTATCATTGGCGAAACAGATGGAGTACTATAAATGGCCCAGACTAATAAAGATTATCTCTGAAAACAGAGTCAATGTAATCCAAGTCAAAAAGATTACTTGAAGGAGAGATAGATAACTGAACACAGTATAGTTGAATGCAGTATACAATATTGCTTAACAGTTCCATCTATTTCTACAAGGCAACATTTATAATGTTTTAGTCATTGTAGCCTTCAAATAGAAAAATAGTACTAATCAAAGAGTCACTGAACAATTGTTTAAGTATTCTTCCTTTGAGTAGACTATCTTTCAAAATAGTCTAATGTTCTGGGAGACTAATGATAGAAGTGGTTTCCCCTCCATCTGCCAGCAGCATGCTCCTCTGCACAATGTCCTTAATCACTTAATGCAGTATACAGAAATAGTGTGAGACCAGAAGACTTTCACATGATAGAGTAAATAAGTTTGAAATACACATAAGCTTTCTTGTAAATAAAAGGGTATATAAGAGCAGGAAACTTTTATCTACGGCTACTACTGTCATCTCTGGGCATAAAACAGTAACACATAAAATAAAATTTCAATAAAATGTTTTTAAAATTAATCTTTCTTAATCATATACATTAGAATATAATTTACCCCAGGATTTTTTTAAAAAGTATGATTCATTTGCAGTAATCCCGATTTTGTTAACATGTAACCTATAAAAAGTCATGCTAGTTAATTCCCAACAATGTGCCAAAACTTTATGAAATCAAAAATTACTTTTCTACTAATATTTTGTGATATTTTTAAATTATAGATTACTTAATTCTATGAGGTATTGGATTCATTGGAAAAGATATTAATGAGTATGTTCACTTTTACTTTGCATAAGACTTCATTAATAATATTAAAAAGATAAAATAATTAGGGTATTTATTGTCTTATTTTCTCATAGAATTTCCTTTTCCTCAATGAAGGGTATACAATATTATCTTTAAATAATATCTTAAGTTGCTAACTTTAAGCAAGGCAATACTAAAATAAAATGATAATAATTTAATAAACCTACTTATATCTTTGATAGAAATTCATGTATTTTAATATTTAAATTTAATATTAAAGTGAATATTGACTTGTCCATGATTTTAGAGAAAAAGCACATCATATACCAACCAAATGGTCAAACACATTTACTTATTTTCAGATAAATATTTTTCCATTTCATCTGGTTTCGTCCTCTGCAGTTATGCATTTTATTGCAATGTTTTCAAAAGTTGTGGCTAATTTATTTCATGCATTTATGTGCAACAAAGGTTAAATGTTGATGGCTGGGAGGAAAAATTCCTAGCTAACTTGTCATATTAAGTTGCATGAATCCCCAGCTACTCAGGCTGAGACATGGGAATTGCTTGAACCTGGGAGGTGGAGGTTGCAGTCAGCCAAGATCATGCCACTGCACTCCAGCCTGGGCAACAGAGCTAGACACTGTATCCCCCCAAAAAAAAAAAAAGAAAAAGAAAAAGAAAAAATAGAGTCCTATCTTGTTAGGTAAAACGGCCTATTTTAAAGCAACAGGAGTGGTGCGACTCAACGTTCCCCATCTCCAATAGCCTAGATTACCTAGGATAATGAAGAAAAGACCAATTTTAGTCAGTACTTTTCAGTTTTTTTCTCATAAAGTAGCCTGGTCTGTTCAAGGAACCCACGGCTTTTAAAATCTAAAATCAACTAAAACCATCCAGAAACTCTTTCTTGGCTTTGTGTACCAAAATTACTTTAGAAGCCAAGAATCCTCCTACTGTTTGAGTTGGCAGGAGCCCAGGCTTAGGCCTATAAGAATTTCTGGTCAGACTGCTCAGCTCATATTGCACGGGGCATGCTACAGCCTCTGGGGAGTAATTACTCTCCAAACCATTAGAAATACAGAAGGGAAGTAGTTGACAGGCAGGCCTCACAGTTAGCTAAACTGTATTGGCAATGCTGTCCAGAAAATAAGCAATGCTTCAAGAACAATTCAAAGGTGATATAAGAGGTAATGTAACTGAACTAAGCTTACTAATAGTTGGAGTTATTTTGTAATAGCTAGTATCATTAAACGTTGGGATTCATTTCAAACTTATTTTATCTAGCTTTGTAAATAATCTCCCTTCTTTAATTTGGAGAAACAACTATTTTTTAGGTCAAATGCAGTATTTTAGCACTCTTCACAGCAATTTATTACTGTTTTCTCCAACAAAAGTGTCTGGAAAGGTAACCAGCTAGTTTTAAATATAATGTCATACTACAGCAATCCATCCAGAGACCACATGACCATGACATATTTTCAAGTAACTGGACCAAAAATCCCTGCTAAGTCACTAACATAGATGACATGCATTCTTGTATGTAAAAATATTGTTATTCTATTATTACCTAATATTAAACTTTCCTTATGAAACAGGAGAGTTCCCTGATTCCCCTCGCAGGATGTGCAACAAGGGTGTTGCATGCTTGGTTGCCCTGAAGTTCAAACCCCTAGGGGGATCAGGCAGACGGGCAGGTACAGAGGCTGGCATGAGCGCTTTTGGGCTTTGACCCCACAGCAGCAACTAGGGGTGAGTGTCTGCATCTCCTGAAGCCCAGATGGGTGTGCGTTTCCAAGTTCTTTCATATTTGCTGTCTCTAGACAGCTTATGTGTTAATCAGCTCAATGGACCCTCTGTCTTATTGCAAGGGCAAGAGGCCAGTGTGACAGCCGGAGTCCTTGCCCAGTGTACTGGAAAAAATTGCATCACATTTGGGCTCCAAGAATGAGTGCAAGTTTTTATTGAGGGGTCGAGGTGGCTCTCAGTGAGATGGATGGGGAGCCAGAAGCAGGGGAGATGGAGTGGGAAGGTGGTCTTCGCCTGGAGTCTGGCCACCCATCAGCTGGACTCTTCTACCGTCCCTGGCTGAACTCCCCTTAGCCTCCAGACATCCCTCCTCTTCTCTATTTCTCTGCCATGTTGCTCTGCAGTAGCTGCTCTGCTGGTCCCTACGTTCAGCCACATGTGTGTGTGACTGCTATGGTCTCGGGTTTATATGGGGGCAGGATGAGGGGGTGGCAGGCCAAAAGGCAACTTTTGGGGCATGAAAGCAGAAATACCTGTCCTCATTTAGGGCCTCAGGTCTTCGGGCTTGAGGATGGGGCCTTTGCCGGGGAACCACTCTCTTGGACCCAGTATTTCCCTGTCTCCTGTCCATATCACTAATAGCAACACTTTTCATATTAAAATTGCACCCCAGTTCTGAATCCACAACTGAGAAACAATTGTTCGATTATATTTTTACTTCTTATGGTACTTCTCAATGGAAGAATGTATTGACTAATAGATATAAGAGTTGGCTTTTTTGTCAATTACATTATATTCCTTATCAGCAATAGATTATAATTCAGATTTATATAAACTTGAGTCTGTTTCTGAGTTATACTGTATAGAAAATATTTAATTTCTAAATTATTTTGTACATTTGATAGGCAAGAAAGACCCTTACTATTCTTTATTATTGGCAATAATACAGCATCAGGTCAGTTCTAACTTAATCTCTATTTGGAAAGGCTCATGACAATCTGTAGAGAATACACAAATTTCACTGGAAAGCAATTATTCTGTTAATGGTGAATTAGACAAAATTCAACACCACCTTGAGAGTATTAATGTGGCCATCTCTTGTCCACATTAATTAATTCTTCTACAGCTTTCTTCCATTGTCAACAATATTGCTAGTCATAATAATGACCTTAAGGAACCATGAAACTTCTGTATTTGTTCTTCAATCAAAGAAAAGTATCAATAATTTTAAATATTGTCATCTTATTTTTTAACCTTTTGTTATTAATTGGAAGAAATTACTATGTAAAACCAACAGTTCACCTTCTATTTTATTAATTTAGGTTATTTTAATGATACTCTACAGTAAAAATATTTAACACTTGAACAATACCTTTAAAATCTTTTTATTTATATATTATATCATTTTAACCTCAGAGATGATAAAAATTACAGATTGATAAGTATATGAAGAAATCAGAAACTTCGATTTAATGATTTGCCTACTGATCATTCAGCTAGAACATAATTGAGCCAGGTCTAGAACCCAGGTCTCCAGTACTCAAAAGGATACATTTTGTGACCATAACAACTCATCCCAAACTAAGGTTTTAAGTGGATGACTAAAGTAAAAATCTGATGCCAGCTGATGCCAGAAAGAGAAATGAACAATTCTTAAATAGCCACCCACTTAAGAGATAGCAAACCAAGATTTTCAGAACTATTTCTAAAAGCATGAGCAGACTTGGCTAGAATATTTTTCCTCCTTAGAGAGAAAAGTTTGTGAGGATCTATTCATAACCTCTACAACTTCCTTTTTCATGTATTATACTCCACATTTTGCTTTGCTAACACATTCCCTTGGAAAACAAAGAATGGAATATGAAGTGAAATATGCTGCCTGACTGAAGGAGTAGGCAGTGAAGCTAGTTGTTCATAAATTTTGTCAAACTATGACATTTTAAGCTAATATTACATATTTAGAATCTGGGGCTATGAAACTATTTCAGAAATAATTTATTGATGTAAAAAACCAAAATATTACTTTAATGAATTACATACATTTGTACACACAATATATATACTCTAACAATCCACATAGTGCCACCATTTTCAAACCCTGTCTTTAAACAAAAATGCTGAATTCTTAGCAAAAATTATCAAATACTTTTGTTTATACACAGTTGGTGTAATTCCTCTCATAAGCTTAGACTTAAGTGATTACTTATCCTAATATTAGGATAAATACATCATTTCTTTAGGTCAATTAAAACCAGTAAGTCTTGGCATTTATTTATTACTCCCAACAAGTATTTATTAATTTTTTATTTGGCACTCTTGGTGCTTCAGTACCATCAATGAACAAAGATGCTTGATTTCCAGACTGCTCAATCTAGCAAGGAGAAAGCAACAAACAATCAGCAATAAAAAAGAAAAAAAAAAAGCATAATGAATCAGAAACGTGTAAGATGGTAGGAGGTGATAAATGCTGTGCAAAAATAAATAAATAAATGGAAAATTAAGTTGGGATACCAGAGACTGGGCTCAAGATGAGTGTGCATTGAAATATTAAACAGATAATCAGGTCTGGCTTCAATGAGAAGACTGGACTTGAAGGAAAATTTGAAAGAGGTGAGAAAGGAAGCCAAGTACATGTTGTTATGTGAGTGCAGTTGAGCAAAAGCCCTGAGGGAGAAACAAGTCCAAATTTAAAGGTACAGTCAGGAGTGAGACCACAGTGGAGTGAGCCAGAGGAGAGTACTAGGATGTGAGAGCCTAAAACAAAGCGCATGTGAGGAGATGGGGAGTCAGGGGAAAAATAGAAATTAATCCAGACTTTCTAAACCATTGGAAGAACTTCGGCCTTTACAGAACGCCATTGCAAGGCTTTAGGAAGAGAAGTAATATGGTTTGACTTCTCTATAGAATGGCTTAGTCTGGCTGCCATGCTAAGAATCATCTGTGTGGCAATAAGAAACAAGGCACCAGTTAGGATACTGGAAATACTTCAGACATCGACAGATGAGGGGACAGGAGGAGAGAATCGTAGGTAGCACATTTCTTCCCTGCTTGCCTTCCTTACTTGGTACCTTGGGTTTAGTAGTGACGGCCTTTCTCCACAGTCACAGTTACCACCTTTTATTTTAGAGAAATAAAAAGTGCTTCACGCACTAGGGAAAAGAGCTGCCTTCTGTCAATAATGTACTTTTGTAAAAGATGGGCTAGTAAAAGGAATAAAAGCCAAATGCAAGAGCAAACTTGGATAAATATGTTATATGTTAAATTTGATTCCAATGAAGAAATTCAATTTCAGTAGATTTTCTATTTGGGCTCCTTAGTTTGCTTATTCAGTTTCTTAACCACCCAGTGAGTATCAAAACAGATATGCAGACACTGGTTAATTCCACTGATCCTTAATGTTTAGTATTAGATTTATGGCTTAGTTTTTAGAAGAGCTTAATGATTTTTATAAACCCATGTAAAAAACACATGTACAAAGGAATGACTTGTTAAGTAAAATATTATTTTTCCTGGATCCTAGATGTACATTTTCACATACTATTTCTGAACTTGGTAGATGGGTTTCAATTCATATTTACTTCTAACTAAATATCTAGTAATCAATCATTGGTCTGTGCTATGTTTATGTGAGTCTGGAATAAATATATATAATATATATTATATATAATATTAATATATATATTATATATATTATATATATATAAACATACCTAAAACATGTTTGCTCTAATGTATGGAATAAAAAAGATTTTGATAGAATTCAGCATCCTTTTGTGTTCAAAACCCTCAACAAACTAGGGATTGAAAGAACATACTTCAAAATATAAGAGCCATCTGTAAAAAACCCCCAGACAACATCATACTGAATGAGCAAAAGCTGGAAGCATTCCCCTTGAAAACAAGAACAAGACAAAGATGCTCTGTCTCACCATTTCTATTCAACATTGTTCTGGGAATTCCTAGCCAGATCAATCAGGCAAGAGAAAGAAATAAAAAGCATCCAAATAGGAAGAGAGGAAGTCCAATATCTCTTTTTATAGACAATATGATCAATATGATTTTATACCTAGAAAACCCCTTAGTGTCTGTCCAATAGTTCCTTGATCTGATAAACATCTTCAGCAGTTTTAGGATACAAACTCAATGAACAAAAATCAGTACCATTTCTATACATCAACAACATCCTAGGTGAGAGCGAAATCAGTAACCCAATCCCATTCACAGGAGCCACAAAAAAGAAGAAAATATCTAGGAAGACAGCTAGCCAGGGAGATGAAAGATCTCTACAACATGAATTATAAAATGCTGTTCAAAGAAATCACAGATTGCACAAATGAATGGAGAAAACATTCCATGCTCATGGATGGGAAGAATCAATATTGTTAAAATAGCTATTCTGCCCAAAGCAATTTACGGATTCAATTTTATTCCTATCAAATTATCGAACTACCAATGGCATTATTTGCAGAATTAGAAAAAACACAGAACATTGACATTAAAGAGCTTCTTTGCAACACATAGATCAAAATATTTAGCATACCTGAAGGACTGATTGCTCCAATTCACCTTGACTTTAAAATCAACATTTTAAAAAGGGGCTACTCAGAAATAGGGCCAGATACCTACAACCATCTGATCTTCAACAAAGCTGTCAAAAACAAGCAATGTGGAAAGGACTTCCTGTTAAATCAATGGTGATGAGATAACTGGCTAGCCATATGCAGAATATTGACACTGGACCCCTTCCTTACATAATATATAAAAATCAACTCAAGATAGATTAAAGATTTAAATGTAAACCTCAGAACTATGAATATCTAAGAAGACCACCTAGGTAATATAATTCTGAATATAGGAACTGGCAAAAATTTCACGACAAAGATGTCAAAAGCAATTACAACAAAAGCAAAAATTGACAAATATGATCTAGTTAAATTTAAGAGCCTCTGCACAACAAAAGAAACAATCAACAGGGTAATAAAAACAACCTACAGAATGGGAGAAAAATTTTGCAATCTATGCATCTAACAAAGGCCTAATATCCAGCCTCTATAAAGAAATTTAACAAGTTTACCAGAAAAGAAAAACATAAAAAGTGGGCAAAAGGCATGAACAAATACTTTTCTAAAGAAAACATACACATGATCTATAAGCATATCAAAATGTTCAACATCACTAAACTTTAGAGAAATGAATATGAAAACCACAACCAGATACCATCTCACACCAGTCAGAATGGCTATTATGAAAAAGTAAACAAAAATAACAAATGCTGGTGAGACTGTGGAGAAAAGGGAACACTTATACACTTCTGGTGGGAATGTAAATTACTTCAATCATTGTGAAATGTGGTTTGGTGATTTCTCAAAGAACTTCAAACTGAAACACCATTTGACCCAGCAATCTTATATTGAGTATATATCCAAGGGAATATAAATCATTCTGTCATAAAGACACACGCATACATATGTTCATTGCAGCACTATTAACAATAGCAAGGACACAGAATCAACCTAGATGCCCATCAACGATAGACTGGATAAAGAAAATGTGGTACATATACACGATTGAATACTATGCAGCCATGATAAAGAACGAGATCATGTCTTTGTATCAACATAAATGGATCCGGAGAGCATTATCCTAAACAAACTAACAGAGGAACAGAAACTGAAACACCACATGTTGTCACTTATAAGTGGGAGTTAAACACTGAGTACACAGGGACATAAAGAAGGTAAAAGAGACACCAGGACTTACTTGAGTGTGGAGAGTGGGAGGAGGGTAAGGATCTTAAAACTATCTATTAGGTACTATGCTTATTACCTGGATGATGAACTAATCTGTACACCGAACCCCTGTGACATGTAATTTACCTATAAAACAAACTTGCACATGTACCCCTGAACTTAAAAGTTGAAAAAAAAAATGCCACTAGAGAGACTACAAAGTAAATTCAACAAATGTTGACAGAGCATTGACTATGAGCCAGTCCCATGCATAAATAAAACATAACACAAAACAAAACGAAATGAATGACTACTTTGGCAATAATCAACAAATTAATAATCCATCAGAAAAAAAATTAGAATAGACTTACAGGGCAGAATAATCTGTCTGATAAAGCCTCTTAAATGGTACCTTTTTCTTCTCCTGCACCTTTCAATTCCTATGCTCGTGTTGGGGAAAAATAATTGTTTTGTGATTAAGAAGACTAAAAAGAGGCCAGGCACAGTGGCTCACGCCTGTAATCCCAAAACTGGGAGGCTGAGGAGGGTGGATCACCTGAGGTCAGGAGTTCGACAACAACCTGGCCAACATGGTGAAACCCTGTCTCTACTAAAAATACAAAGATTAGCTGGGCGTGGTGGTGGGCGCCTGTAATCCCAGCTACTCGGTAGGCTGAGGCAGGAGAATCGCTTGAACGCAGGGAGGTGGAGTTTGCAGTGAGCCGAGATTGCGCCATTGCACATTGCAGTCCAGCCTGGGCGACAGGGCGAGACTTTGTCAAAAAAAAAAAAAAAAAGCCTGAAAAGTGATCTGGTTATGTGGAGATCTTTACAGTCAATCAGCCTAAGACATTTTTGTCCGAGTCCAATTAAGGTAACTAAGCTCTTTTGCTAGAAATCCAGCATTGAGAAATTTTTTCAAAGTTTAAGTTATAATTAGGAAAAATATATGCATACGTGTACACAGAAATATGTGTGTGGAGAATATATATATGTGCATATATATAGTTTGTATGTATAATTTATATCAATCATTCATAAACATTAACATGAAAAAATACATACTAAAGTAGATGAATATATTCAACCTTTTCAAACCAATGTAACCAATAGAGAAAGAGTCAGCAAACATTTTATTTAAATGTCTAGATAGTAAATGTTTCAATAGTACTTTTTGACAGAAACATTGTCAGTTAGGAGGCCGAGGTGGATGGATCACCTGAATTCAGGAGTTCCAGACTATCCTGGCCAACATGGTAAAATCCATCTCTACTAAAAATACAAAAATTAGCTGGGTGTGGTGGTGCACCTGTAGCCCCAGCTACTTGGGAGGCTGAGGCAGGAGAATTGCTAGAATCTGGGAGGCAGAGGTTGCAGTGAGCTGAGATGGTGCGACTGCAATTCAGCCTGGGCAACAAAGTGAGACTTTGTCTCAAAAAAAAAAAAAAAAAATTTCGGTAGGAAGCGTCCCGAAGGCCTTGGTTCAGGATTTAGTCTTCTGAATTAGACTATTAATTACTTAACTCATAGAGTCCATGCTTTAGTTATCTAGTTATCTTCATATCCCTTGTGACTAAAAAAATCTGCACATACTACAAATTTAATGAATATTTGTTGAGTAGTATCAGCTACTAAATAAAATTTAAGTCAGTGTATAATTTGAAGATGATACCAACTATCTATAAATCCTTTTTAGTAGAGAAATACAATAATCTAATTGCCAAGTCTGATGTGCTATAATCAGTTTCTGGAATGACCAGCTCTTAATTCTGGATTCAAGCTAAATAGAAGACTGTGCAACAAAGCTGGCTCAGTGAAAAGAAATTAAAGAGTGGCCAATTACTTGGCTGAAATGGAACTGGTAAGAGAGCAATCTAGCCTCTTTTAAAGAGGGAGAAAGTATATAATGAACAGAAAAGACATGAAACTCCAGGTGCTAATGTTCAAGCATTAGAGATTTAGAAATACAAGCTTGCTTTCTCTGGCATCTGTAAGACTTTAAAATCATTAATCATGTTTTTACTATCACCAATAAAATCTAAAGATAAAATGACTCCATAAGGATAATGTGACTTCAAAACCATCAAATATTCATTTTGACACTCAATAACATGCAGTGTAAAGTACCTGTTTATCAACATAAAAGTAAAAAAATAGGGAAAATAGCTCATTGAATGAAAATAATTTATAAAACCATATTTTCTGGCACTGTTTAACTTAGAGCTATCTACATAAATTAATGACAGTTTACATAGCTCTTTAAAAGTGATTAAATGTTAATATCATCTTCCTGATATATTACGGAGCAGTTGAAACTGCTTCATATTTGTAGAAGTTCTGATTTCAAAGATTCAGACACATGGGAGAAGGTCCTGACAAATTCTTTGATCTTTCTGCCTATCACAAGGGAAATTAAGTAAATAAAATACAAACAAACAAATACATCACTATAACTCTAAATATATATATATATAGGTGTGTGTGTATGCATATGAAATTTCCAAACATTTGGTGAAGTGACACATGACATGACATTTTATTTAGAACATTCTAAACAAATTTTAAGATACATTTTATGATTTCTTCCATAAGGTGGGAAAGTAAATGACCAAAAGACAAGGTCAGATATTAAGGAAGTGAAAAACATAAGAAAAGGAGATCAGCTAAATATACTTAATACAGAACCAGGTGGGATAAGGGGCTCAGTTACAGGCAGCAGCTAACAGCACTCATGAAAAATGTGAAGGCCACTAACTAGATTTAATATGTAGAATTAAGCAAGTCTTTTTTATTAATATTAATAATGTATTTGAAGTAAATCCAAGACATGCATGTTCCGCTTCACTAATTGACTAATTTATTTAATGTGGACAAACACTTTATTTCTTGTCTGCAGTATCAGAGCTTGGAGAAAGTATTTAAAAGTAACTACCATGTACTTTCTTCTTCTTCCCCTCCTCTCTTCCTTTCACCTCTACCTCTCCCTTCCCTTCCCCTCCTCCTTTTTCTTCATCCTCCTTTTCCACCGTTAATCTTTCTACTCTGCTATCTTTTTATTCAATACCTTGTTTTATGTTGTTACCGTTATTTTTGAGGCAAGTTCTCTCTATGTTGCCCAGGCTGGCCTCAAAATCCTGTGATCAAGGGAGCCTCTCATTTGAGCCTAACCAGTAGCAGGGACTACAGGCTTGTGTCATTGTGCTCAGCTCAGTAACTTTTTTATTATTATCATATCTTACGCACATATTCAATAATTTGTATTTTAAAAATTCTTTCACATAATGTGCATAGTTGGTAATACAATAAATATAAAATAAGAAAATGAAGGGGTATATGAAAAAGTGTCTAAAAAGGATAAACAAACAAGAAACCAATCATAATAATTATATAAACTCATCTAAAATCAATCAGTATGAAATGAAAACCACGTTGCAAATCCCCTTGAAAGAGTAGCAAGTGTAGCAATAAGATCGGTGTACAGAAGCTCTTCTTTTTAGACTGTCAACATCCCTAGACAGATTTCTTTCCTCTGGATATTTTTCAATAACGTAAAAATTTACAGAAAAGATAGTTGAATGTGCACAGATAGATAGATACATACATACCTAAATGCATACCTACATACATAGACAAAATTGGTGCTTTGATTATTTTGTATGTGAGATTCAGGTGGTATTCCTTTTCCTACTCTGTCAAAATACATTTATTGAAGACTTTTATGTTGCCATAAAGGTATAAGGTATAAGTTAATTTTTATACAAAAATTAACTCAAGTTTGTTCAAAGACATAAACGTAAGACCTAAAACCAGAAGAACCCTAGAAGAAAACCTAGGCAGCATCATTCAGCACACAGGCATGGGCAACAACTTCATGACTAAAACATCAAAAGCAATTGCAACAAAAGCCAAAATTGACAAATGGGATCTAATTAAACTAAAGTGCTTCTGCACAGCAAAAGAAACTAACATCAGAGTGAAAACGCAACCTACAGCATGGGAGAAAATTTTTGCAATATATCCGTCTGACAAAGGGCTAATATACAGAATCTACAAGTAACTTAAACAAATTTACAAAAAAAAACTGCATCAAAAAGTGGGTTCAGAATATGAACAGACACTTCTCAAAAGAAGATATTTTTGTGGCCAAAAAACATATGAAAAAAGCTCATCATCACTTTTCATTAGAGAAATAAAAATCAAAACCACAATGGGATACTATCTCACGCCAGTTAGAAGAGTGATCATTAAAAAGTAAGGAAACAACAGATGCTGGAGAGGATGTGGAGAAATAGGAATTGCTTTTACTCTGTTGGTGGGAGTGTAAATTAGTTCAACCATTGCGGAAGACGGTGCGGTGATTCTTCACGGATCTAGAACCAGAAATACCATTTGACTCAGCAATCCCATTACTAAGTATATACCCAAAGGATTATAAATCATTCTACTGTAAAGACACATGCACACGTATGTTTATTGCAGTGCTATTCACAGTAACAAAGACTTGGAACCAACCCAAATGATAGACTGGATAAAGAAAATGTGGCACATATACACCATGGAATGCTATGCAGCCATAAAAAAAGAATGAGTTCATGTTCTTTGCAGGAACATGGATGAAGCTGTGAACCATCATTCTCAGCAAACTAACACAGGAACAGAAAACCAAACGCTGCATGTTCTCACTCATAAGTTGGAGTTGAACAATGAGAACACGTGGACACAGGGAGGGGAACATCACACACAGAGGCCTTCGGTGGGTGGAAGGCAAATGGAAGATGAGCATTAGGTCAAATAGCTAATGTACGTGGGGCTTAAAACCTAGATGACAAGTTGATGGTTGCAGCAAACTACCATGGCATATGTATACCTATGTAACAAAACTGCATGTTCTGCACATGTGTCCCAGAACTTAAAGTAAAATAAAAATCTGTAAAATTAATTTATTAGCAGATCTTTCTACAACTCTGTTAGATTTTTTCCTTTAAAATTATTGTTTTGCTTATTAAATAGACATTGTCAGTAGAGATTATCTTAATGAGAGCAGAGCTTCACAAATTTTAACATTAGTTTCTTGGTGTCATAAATAACCATGTAGTTCGGGGTGTTTATGAGAAGTTTCTTCTGCAATTGAACAGTAGATATGAGTATGAGAACTTCTTTCTCTTCCTGGCAGAAAACAAGATCCATTACATTTTCTAATGTGAATTATTCCATGGTATCTTTATTCCATCATTTTTTATTTTTTTCTCTGATTGAAGTCAAGGACTTTCAAAAGATAATTTTAGAAGAGTTGCAGAGGAGGCAATGAAAAAAATCATAGAGTCTTCACTTTCAGTGGGATGTTTAAGGCTACAAAATTTCTCTACACTTAAGTACTGTGCAACTATATAAGGAAAAAATAATATGGGTCAACATAAAGAAAACTAAAATATCCAAAAAAATTGAAAGAAAGTCATCTGTCCTTATGACTCCCTAATTTGATGATCCCATTAAATAAGTAAACTGATTACCATTTTTGTGATATCATTTAACCTGGTTTTTGTCGACTATAATAGAGGTCAGAAAACTTTGTCCCACAAGCCAGTTCTGACCCATCATCTGTTTTGTTCGTAAATAAAATTTTATTAAGCATCTTTGCCTACTCATTTAAATGCTGCTTATGGATACTTTTGCACAATGACAGAGTTGAATGGTTGCAACAGAGACCATAGAGTCAAAAAAATCCTAGATATTTGCTCTCTGCTTCTTTACAGAAAATATTTGCTCTTCTCTCATCTATAACATGGTATACTACTTATCATTGCTCAAAAAAAAATACCAAAACAGTAATTTAAAACAGTATCTTATGTAATGTCATATATCCAGAATTAAGAAATCTAAACAGGCTTACAGGACTACTAACACATCTGTAGTCCTAGCTATCAGGGAGGTTGATGCAGGAGGATCACTTGAGTCCCGGAGCTCAAGGTTACAGTGAGCTATGATCATGCCACTGCCCCTCCAGCCTGGGTGAGAGTGATACCTGTTCTTTAAAAAAAAAAAAAAAATTGAGAAAATAGTGACTCAGCTGAGTGGTTCTGGGTCAGGTTCTCTCATGAGGTTGCAAGCAAAATGTTGATCAGTGATATAAATATCTGAATTCGAGTTAGAAACCTCCATTTCCTAAAATGATCCATCCAAAGAAGTCACGAAACATCATTTTTGCAATATTCTATTCATTACGAGCTAGTCCTAATTCAACATGGAAGAGAAAACACGAGTGTGTGAGCGTGAGCAGGTAAGGGACATCAAGATCATCTTGGATACTTGCGGTCACAGGTGAAGATCCAGTTCACGGTAAATAAATGTTATAAGATAAAGACTACAATACCATGCTTGGCACACAGTAGAAGAATGAGAATTTGTCCCATTTTTTTCCTTTTTGGGACATGATACACAGTAAAAAATTCTTCACGTGTATAAAGTTTATTGGCACAGTATATATCTATGCCAGGAGTCCGTAAATATTGATCCAAGGACTAAATCTGGACTTCTGCCTCATTATGCAAAAAAGTGATATTGGAACACACCCATGAATGCATGTATGTTGGTTTGTGTATTGTCTATAACTACTTTTGTGCTAAAATAGCAGAGATTAATAACTGTGATGAAAATTGCATAGCTTACATGACTAAAATATATTCTACCTGGCCCTTTACAGAAAAAGTTTGCTGATTCTTGGTCTATTCCATATGTTGACCTGAGTAGGTTTGAATTTATCACTGAATAAACTGGAACTACATAACAATGTGACCTAAGCAAATAGTCTCATTCTCTCTAGATCAATGGAAAACACTCCTGGCTGCAAAACAAGTCAGTTTCTAGGCAGATCACACACACACACACACACACACACACACACACACACACACACCCCAACAAAGTACCAAGAACAATGACTACTTCAATATTGCAGAGATTTGGAAAGCTCTGGTTAAAAAAGAAAAAGCTCTAATCAAAACAGTCTATCCTTTTATTATCCAATAAACTATTTTTTAAAACATGAGATGAAATTCTCTCCAAATAGTAGCTATTTTGTGAAAGTTAGATTATTTTCAGTAATCAGAGATTCCATTTGTCTCCCTACTTTATGTACTCAGATATAACACTTAATTTATAACTAATGTTTTGTCTATATCATACAAATAATTAATTCTTCATAGTGGTGCGTATGCTGCTCTGTTACTTGGTTTATGTAAGTACTTTCTAACAAACTTGATTCCTTTCGGGAAGAAATGAAGCCTTTGAAAACTATATTCAAAACATGGCTTAATGGAGAGTTGTTCGCACAGTAGTTGTCAGCCAAAGACCTCTTGATTAACTGTAATCAATGCAATATAATGGAAGTTAAAATCTCAATTACTTCAAAGAAATAAAATAACTAAGAATTGATATTTATCTAAAATCCTCCCAAAGAATTACTGGCCTGGGCCATTGAAAAGTAATTGAAACGCTAAAATACACTTCCATTTTACATCTATGTTGACATCAGGTAAGGTCCCAATAATAAAGTAGGCAAACCCTAAAGTGCATGATGAAGAGAGAGCTTCTTCCTAACTTTCATTTCTACACCTCATAGTTCTTCTTAATTTTAGTTAAAAGTAAGCACACAAAAACATATGAAACTCTTTCAGCAAAAATTTGTGGTTAAAAACCAGGACAAAAAGATATCAAACACATCATATTATATAATAGAATAATATATAGAAGGAGAAGCCCCAAGCATAATATTCCTGTAATGGGAATTAGTATGCTGTCATACGGATGAGGATTAATTCTTCTAAGTCAGTGAGTCAAAGAAAAAGAAGCAAGTTTCCATAATCTGTAACTAGAATAAAATTAATAGCATGAGTACTCTGGAAAACTTATAACTCAAGAAATTACTTCGTCAATGGAACAGATTTTTCTACTTAGAGTGAATGTTACATTCACTGAAGCAGTTTGATTATTCAGATTCATGTAACATTTGTTCACTGTCTACACTGTTCGTGGCATTTTATCTAAGTCATTTAACTTAATTGTTCAAATGTGGTTTTAAAGCTGGTATTACTGTATTTTATAGTGAAGGAAATGGAATTAGAGAGTTCAAGTTGCCTAAAGGTATACATCTTGTCAATAGCGTAGCCTGATTTCTAACTCAAGCCTTTTAGCTCTGAGTGTAATATTCTTCCCTCTGTCTCATTTAGGATCTCAGAATAGTTAAAATCTTCCCTATAATGATGCATAGGAAATAGTGATGCAGACATTCTCACACTGTAATGTGCATAAAAGGTAGTTACAAACTTAGATACCCAGGTTCTACTCAAAATGTTTTTAGTTTGTCAGTCCGCACAAAACCAGATATCTGTATTTTTTTAGTGAGCATTAATGATCATTTAGACTAATTTGTGTCTACTTCACCAAAGGGGGAAAAAGTGATGCCATGGAGAAAAAGCAGCCTTTAATATACTTGGCTCTTAAATGGGAAAAGTGGAAAATTTGTAGAGTTACAGAACGTAAAATAGTAGATCATAATTTAAATGCAAGGGCTGCTTATTTAAAATAAATGATTTCATTTTGTTGATTGAAGACATTCATATAATTGGTATTTTATTATGAAGACAAGGAAAATTCTATATTCCCTAAAACATAGGAATAGACTTTTAATAAAAAATCAACTGTTATTTTATTATTTGATCAACATTCAGATTTAAAAGATAAATCCCTTTGTTTGTAGGATATGTCTTATTTAATTAGCAGTGAAAATTTTACAAGTCTGAAATATATTATTTTTAGATTGTCACATTGATAGATGAGGTCTCTCATATAAAACTCTGCAGAACAAAAGGAAAAATATTTTCTTACAACAGACAATATAAAAAAAGTGATTGAATGTCAAAATTACAGGTTTAGATGTTATATTTATACTTTGTACTGTTCCAAGGAATCTCAATTTCAAGAAGAATTCTACCTTTTATTGCAGTTTTCTGTATTTTATTTGCTTATCTGTTTAGATCATTTCAATTATTCAAAGCTTAGACTCTCCATGAACCAAACTTCCTGTTGTCTTTGCCTTTCAAAATGAATCAGCCTGTCTTATTGTTGTTGCTGTTGTTACCTGAACATAACATTTCCACAGCAATTGAGTTAATATTGACTTCTAGAGGTCTTAATACAATGGTATATAGACTGTGTCATGGATTGGCAAAATTCTTTAAATTGTTATATAGAGGATATCTTTTAAATATTATTTCAATTATTTATATTTCCATAGGGAGGTAGTTTCCTAAGGAAAAAGAATAGTCAAATGCAATCATGTGTCTTTTAAAGACAAGGATATGTCCTAAGAAATGAATTGTTAGGCAATTTAGTCATTGTGCAAACATCATAGAATGTACTTCCATAAACCTAGATGATACAGCCAACTACACATCTAGGCTATGTGGTGGAGCCTATTGTTCCTAGGCCACACACCTGTACAGCATATTACTGTATAGAATACTGTAGGCATTTATAACAACATGGTTAATATCTGTGTATCTACATATAGAAAAGGTACAGTAAAAATATGACAAAAATAATTTTAAAAATTGTACATCTGTATAAAACACTTACCATGAATGGAGATTACAGGACTGGCAGTTGCTCTGGGTTAGTGGATGAGTGAGGGCTGAATGAGTGAGGGCTGAATGAACGTGAAGGCCTAGGACATTACAAGACACTTTTATACAACTGGCAGCATAGTAGGCTTGTTTACACGAGCATCACCACAAATATGTGAATAATGAATGGCACTGTGAAGTTCTGACAGCTGTGACATTGCTAGGCAACAGGAATTTTTAAGATGTGTTATAAATTCTTATGGGACCACCGTCATATATGTGGTAAATCCTTGACTGAAATTCTGTTATGCATAGTATGACTGCATTCTATGTGAAACAGAGATCAAGAGAAATAAAAATGTAGGTTTCTCTTATAAATACACAATCTATTCATGAAGGGTAATAATGCCAGAAAAGCAGATCAGAAAAATTAAACAAAAACTAAAACAAAACAAAGGACATGTGTTGAGGTTAACAAGAGAAAGAGAAAATAAAATTAGTGAGAATAAGTATTCTTCACAAAAATGTTTGAATTGTTTTTAAATTTTATATTTAGTAGCATTTATTCAGCATAGTTCTGTAAGAAAGGGTGTTCTGTTAAATTCTATCTAAAAAAGATAAGCCTTTTAATTCAATCCAGGGCATATTACATAATCTAAAACAATGGTCCCCAACCCCTGGGCTGCAGACCTATACCCGTGGCTTCTGAGTAACCAGGCTGAAACAGCTGGAGGTGAGTGGCCAGCGAGCGAGTATCACCGCCTGAGGTCCACCTCTTGCCAGATCCGCAGCAAAATTAGATTCTCATAGGAGTGCAAACCCTACTGTGAACTGTACACGTGCGAGATCTAGGTTGCACTCTCATGAGAATCTAAGACCTAATGATCTGAGGTGGAACAGTCTCATCCACAGTCTCATCTGTAGAAAAGTTGTCTTCCATGAAACCAGTTTCTGGTGCCAAAAAGGTTGGGAACTGCTGATCTCAAACAAGGCTTATTTTATGAACTATTGCTAAATTCAGAACATTTCTTCCACATATTCCATTATATTTTTTCAGTTGAATTCAATCAGGTCGAAGTATAGTAAATTATGCTAATCCAAACAAATCAGTTTAATTGAGAAAAATTAATTTAATTTGATTTGTTGAATGTAATATATTTTTCTTTTCTGTAATGTAAATTGAATTAATTTCAACCCAGATCAAAAGTCAGATTAGTCCTGGTCCACCTCACTCCATCCGTTTTCAAACAAGATCAGATATAGTACAAAACATTCAATTCAATTAGCTTGAATGTTATTCTTTCTTTTCATTGATTTCAAACCAAAATGCATGCTTACTTTACAAATCTCACCTTAATAATGCAAAAAACCTAAGACCTACAGTCAATTTTCTTCTTTTGTAAAACTTTAGGTTTTCCAAGACTAAACTTGAATTACCAAAAATATTTATTTACAGAACCAATTCGTCTGTGTTCTCCAAAACTAGTGATTTTATGTTCCAATATCAACACCCTTCTGTGTGTAGGACACTATGCTAAGTACTTCACAGCATTTAAAAAAAAAAAAAAGAAAAAGCACAACTGCCTTTAGAAGCTTGCTATCTAAGACAAAAAATAAATAAATATTCTAGTGTCATGTGGCATACTAAGTATTTAACAAATGAAATATAAATAATAATAGTGATTTTAAAAAGACATCTATGTTGAAAATGCAGAAGCAAAAGATAACATTACCTCATTATCTTTCTCAAAATCACCCCAGAGCAGCAAGGGAAACTAGAAAAACACAAAAAGATATTAAGAGACAATGAAACCACAAAATTACAAAAGGGATGGAAATCTGCATGAAGGAATGGGGGATGAGCAGTTGCATATGGAGGCTGAAGCAAGCCAAAAAAGAGAACTGCTGCAATTGTGGATTTCAGAGATACCTAGCAACATATTTCTTGGAGAAGGAAAATTCATTGGAGATGAAAAATCTAAATTACTTGTTTGAAAGACATACTAGTCAGGGTTCTCTAGAGAGACAAAACTAATAGGTGATATAGATATAGATATATATGAGAAGAAATTAACCAGGAAAATTGGCTCACAAGATTATGGAGACTGAGAAGTCCCATCACATGCTGTCTGTAACCTGTAGACCCCGGGATGCCAATAGGTAACATGGCTCAGTCCAAGTTTGAAACCTCAGGAAAAGAGAAGCTGATATAATTCTCAGTGTGAGAAACTGGAGGCCGCTGGTGTAAGTCCTAGAGTCCATAGGCCAGAGAGCCTGGAGTTCTAATGTCCAAGGGCAGGAGAACTGTTCCAGTTCCAGGAGAATGAGAACATTGTCCTTTTTTCTGTCTTTTTTTGTTCTATCCGGAGCCCCAGGATGTTGGATGGTGCCCATTCACATTAAAGGTGGATCTTCCCCATCGAGTCCACTGATTCAAACACCAGTCTCCACTAGAAACACCCTCACAGGTTAACCCAGGAGTAATACTTTACCAGTTCTCTAGTACTCCTTAATTCAGTCAGGTTGACACTTAAAAACAACCATCACAAAAGGATAAGGGCAAAATGATTGTTCTGGGATTAAAATTTTCCTTACACTGAGTTAAATTTCAATAATCAGAGGAATTGTAGCTAATGAAAAAAATTACAAAGACAATCTCTACTTGAACAAAGTTGTATGTCCCTGGAGTGGCAAGGAAGAGATATTTTTCTATTTGTTTGTTTGTCTTTTTAATAAATTCTGGCTGCTAATTGTCTTTTGTTGGTAGGAATTGGTTTCAAATAGCTTAGCCCGGGAAGAACAGATACCCTTTAAAAATTATTTTTAAAAAAAGTGGAAAGAAGCAGCAAAGGATAATATAAAAACGTTATGAGTTGAACACAGATGAGATATAAAAAACAAATATCAAATGAGAAAACAATCTCCAGGAAAATATATATATTTAAATAAAGGACAATTCAAACTGACTGCTTGGCCATGAATGAAATACAAAAAAAAAAAAAAAAATACAATCACATCTGTGAAATAAGAATACACACCAGAAATTTAAGATCTTTTATAAAAGATGAAAGACACCAGAAGAATATTACAACTGGATTCCTGGGTTGTCAAGGGAGAGAAAAGATGTGGAAAACAGAAAAATGTTACTGATAAAAAGTAAATAAGAAAGACACCAAGGAAGATAGACAATGTTAAAATCATAATGAAAAATTTGGAAAACAGAAATGAAATGGTAATGAATATTAAATAAGTTAAATAATCTTAAAAAGGAAAAATAATATAAATAAGAGAGGAGGTGATATATAGATAGGAAAGGATATTGAATATGTACACAATTAAAGTCCTTATACAATAAAATTTAAATAATAGAATAGGATATAAAATTTTAAAATACACTTTTATTTCTGAAATTAAAATAAATATTTTAATCTACATATTAAGTACACCATATTTCAGAGACTATTAACCCAGAGGACCAGCTTGAAATAATATCCTTAAAAATAAATTAGTATCTACTGGTAAATAAAAAAGTATTTTTGACAGCCAAACAAAAAACAAAATCATTTTACCAGACAACATATAAAATAGCATAAATAATTTCCCAAGTCAACATTTAACATTAAAAGATAGTAGGGAAAATGCCTAATGTATCAATAAAGAGAGTGAAGTTTAAAAAAATAGTGTAGCAAATTACTATTGGTAGAGTGTAATGTTAAGAGAAATTAGTTTTAAATATCTAAGAAGAAAGGACATTATTTCTACAGGCCATTTTTACATAATTTACTGGGAAAAAAACAAGAAAATATTTAAAGGCAAAATAACTGGCAGTGAGAAATTATCTGCTTGTCTTTAGGAATTAGGATGTAACAAACAAGGAGATGATGTTCCACAACAAATAGTAGCCATATAAACTCTGATGAAGTAGAAATAATATAACTAACAAGGAAAGGAAGAAAGAAAGATGGCTGAAAAAGAGAAAGACGTTTTTACTTCCTTATCTTTAGTACCTAGAGGCCAATATATTTGAAATAAATCAAGAACTTGAGGTTCAAATATGTTTAACAGTTTAAATGGAAACACAAATAAAATGATATAATTAAAATCAAACTGATACAGGAGGGAAGCAGGGAAGTGCTGGGTAGAGGATAAGGGTGGGTCACTGGCAAGGGCTTCATCCCCAGGCTTCTCCTCATGGACCTAGGTGAAGACAGGCACTCTTGCCTTTCAGTCCAACTGTTGTATTTCCCAAGACCACCCTGGCCTGCCAGGCCCCCATCCTGTACCTACAAAAACCCCGAGACCCTAGCAGGCAGACACACAGGCAGCTGGACGTCGAGAGGAGCATGCCAGCGGAGGAACACACAAGTGGCTGGACGTCAAGAGGGACGCACCAACAGGCACCAGCGCACCAGCAGGCCACCTACCGGCAGAACGACTTGGAGTTTGGCCCAGGCAGTCGGAGGAGACCCCAACCCACCAAGCGGCCTGACGCCAAGGGAAAACCATCTCCCTTCTGGCTGCCCCATCTGCTGAGAGCTGCTTCCACTCAATAAACCTTGCACTCATTCTCCAAGCCCAGTGTGATCTGATTCTTCTGGTACATCAAAGTAGGAACCCGGGATACAGAAATCCCTCCGTCCTTGTGATAAGGAAGGGAGTCTAACTGAGCCGACTAACACAAGCCACCTATAGACGGCAAAACTAAAAGAGCACCCTGTAACAGATGCCTACTGGGGCTTCAGCTGTAAACATTTACCCCTAGACACTGCCGTGGGGTCAGAGCCCACAGCCTGCCAGTCTGTATGCTCCTCTAGAGGTTTGAGCACCGGGGCACTGAAGAAGCGAGCCACATGCCCAACTCACGCCCTGCGAGGGGGACAAGGAAACTTTTCCCGTTTCAAAATAAGGAGAAAAATGAGAGAAGAAAAAGGAAAATACAAACTCTATATTTGATCATAATATATGCTTAATAGATAATGACTAAAAGTAAAACTTAGATATAAAGGTAGAATTTTCAACTGTAAATTACCTGGTTTAAATTTTTTTTTCTAAGTATATAAGAATATGTGAACTGATTAATGAAAGCAAATAGAGCCCAGGAATAGACAGGACCATGTATAAATATTTGGTTTATAAAATTGATATATTTGTAAGAAATCATGTTTGGACAGTTATAAAGACAGAAAAAATTGATGATCACTTCACTTTATGCACAAAGGCCAGTTGCAGGTAGATTCTAGACATAAAGGAAGTGAAAAAGATCACCAGGGAGACAGCATAGGAGAGCATCTCTGTAAATTTTAAAAACGAAAAGCTATCTTAAACATATTTTAAAAGCTAGCCATTAAGAAAATTAAAACCTGATAATTTGGATGGCATTAAACATTTCTGTTTGTTAAGAGATATGATTACGAATCAAATAGACAAAGGAATGGAATAAGATACCTGCAACATATGGGACCACAAAAGATCCATCGAGAATATATAAACTTCCACAAATTAACAAGAAAATACAGAAGAAGACTTGACCAGAGACATTTTTTAAAAAATGCATAACTTTTAATAATCTTACACTTAAAGCAAATTATCAAATTGCTCATAGACATATGGTACAGTGCTTAGATTCATTAGTAATGAAGGGAATTAGCACTAAAATCACAATGAATTTTCCCAACACAAACACCAGCATGGCAAAACTTTAATATTTGTTAATATCAAGTATTGCTAACAAAGTGAAACAATTGTATCTTTCTTTAAAACTAATTTTGTAATTACTTACTAAAACAACATAAAAATAGCCAATGAAAATTTTGACAAATTTACTCCTAGCACTCAACAGAAAAGTCTGCACCAATGTTCAAGAGACTTGCACCAAAATCTCCAGAGAAATGTTATTTATATTAGCTTTGTGATAGAAACATTCAGATGTCCATCAAAATTAGAATACATTTTATGTGTGTGTGTGTGTATATATATATATATATATATATATATAATATATATGTAATTTTTTCTTCATTTTCGTTTTTTTAGAGGCAGAGTTTTGCTCTGTCACCCAGGATAGAATGCAGTGATATGATCATAGCCCAAGGCAACCTCAAACTCCTGGGTTCAACTAATCTTCCCACTTCAGCCTCTCAGTAGCTGGGACTACCAGGTGCAGACCCCTGTGCCCAGCTAATCATTTTTCAGAATTTTTTTTGTGGGGAAGAAGTCTCACTATTTTGCTCAGGCTGGACTCAGACTCCTGGCCTCAAGCAGTCCTTCCACCTTGGCCTCTCAAAGTGCTGGGATTACAAGCATAAACCACCTCATCCAGCTTACATAATATTTTTTAAATGTGGCATGTTCATATAATGGAATATCTCACAACAATACACATTTTTGCTACTTGGAAAAACACTGACTTTTACTATCTACAATTAAAACAAAATTGGCATTGCTAAACATTACCACAAGCAAAAGCAAAGGCATACTAAAAATCAAAGTGAAATACTTGTAACATATTCCAGGACAAAAATAAATAATGTTTCTCATTTGTAAAGAGTAGCTATTAATTAATTAGGGAGACGTCTAACAAAAGTTCAATGGAAAGATAGTGAAAAACCATAGGCACTTTGAAAATAGGAAATAGAGGCATCATTAAACATAAAGAAAGACTCAGCTGTATTTATAAATAAAGGCAAACAAAAAGTAAATTCAGAAGTCTTTTTTTTCAAACTGGTATTAATTATATGGTGTTGAAAAGGCATAAAGAAACAGGCTCTCACACATTGTTGGCAGGTGTGTAAATTAAGATAAATCTCTAATAAAATATCTGACAATATTTTTCAAAATTATAAATGCATGCAACATTTGACTAAGCAATTACATTTACAGAAAGTTACCTTAAAGACAAACTCATATATGTGTGGAAATGGGCACAGTAAAGTTGTTTAGTACAGCATTTCATGTATGACAAGCCTGGATACTATGTGGATGTTCATAAATGGGGTGCAGGGTGCAAGAATTAATCATGGTATGCCTATATTATAAAGCCATAAACAAAGATGAAGAAGATTTTTGTGTCCTAATATAGCAATCTCTGCAGGAAAAATATTAATAAAAGTTATGTACAGAATAGTATGTATATTAGCCCATCAATTTTATGAAAAGCTTCTGGAATATTGAAGGGCAAAGGCAAAAGGAAGACTTTATTTTTATTTATTCTGAATTTTTCAAAATGTAATAGCATTTCTCATCTAAAATTTGGAAACTATAATTAATATTATAAATAATCCTATAGATAATAAAAAATTAATAGGTGATCATTGTGAAAACTTTACATTTGGTGACTTTCTTGAAATGAACAAATTTTTTGAAAAATGCAACTTAACAAAAGTAACACAAAAAAACTAGAAAATTTGAATATTCCTACATCTCTCAATGAAATAAAATTCCCTAGGAAAAAACTTCCATGACTTCATTTGTAAATTCTATTGAACAAAATCAGGAATATGTAACACCACTTATCCACAAAATATTTTAAGAATAGTAAAAAGGAAGGCAATTGTGATAAAATAGCTTGTATTGATTAATTCTTCTACCAAAAATAACCATGAAATCTAAACAAAATACATGAAACAACTGTCTGATGTCATTGAAAGGGAAATAATGCACATACGAGAAGGAGTAGAGCTGCAATTCCTGAGAGAATGTACCAGGTGAAGTTTCACATTTACACTTTTCTTCCCTGAAGATATTTGCCTGTTGGAAGTTTGGGGGACTGAAGAACAAGAAGAAAGCAGCAGGATTACTAGCTGCAGAAGACAGAACTTTAGGATGCCAAAAATCCTGGGGAACAGGAGATCACAGGGAAGTAAACCCACGACTCTGTACAATTTCCTCTTAATGTTTGGTTGACTGCATAGTTACGAATGCATAAGGCAAAACTCTAATAACCTAGCAGAAGATAGAAATTCTTTGGCTAAAGACATAAGCACACATTTAGCAGCTATAATTTGTGAGGAAAAGAGATTTGGGAGTTGAAATTCTTCCAAAGTGGAGTGGCTAGGTCACCACAATATACTTCCAGGTAAAACGATAGAAATTCAAGCCTCTGTAAAATGATGTGGCTAGTTCATCCTTCTAGGTTTTTAGGTGAAATGGCAGAAATGCAAGACCTTATAAGGCGCAGGGGCTTAGACAACCATTCTATGCTTTCAGTAAGATAACCATAGGATTAAGAACTAAACTCTAGGAACAAAGGAAAAAATTAAACAGATCAAAAATAACACAACTTAAAATAAATCTTTGCCAAGATCAAAGTGGTCTCCTGATATTGTGTTAAGACATAAGAAAATATAACCCCTTTTAGAGTAAGAGAACATAATATAGCAACTCTAAATTTTTTATATAAAAATGTTACAGCGTAGTCTAAAAATGACAAAATGACCAAATAACCAAAATTGACAAAATGACCAAATAACCAAAATTGAAAAGGAAATAGCATACAATCAAAATAAGCTCATTGATTATTTAAATATTAAACTTATCTTAGGTTATTAAAACTAATTATGATTAATAAATTAAGAAAATAGCAGAAAATGCTGGAGAAATTCACCACAGACTGACAAAGTATATAGTTTTTAAATTAGGTGGAAATTCTAGAAGTAAAAAATATTATAACTCAAATAAATCAACAGATGATCTTAAGAGATGACTAGACATGATAGAACAAGAATTAATAAACCCCATGGACTTCAGTTAGCATAAATATAAATGATAGGAAATAATCCTGGATAAGTGGGTTAAAACCAGGGCATGGATCTTTGCTGTGATTTAGAAAGTCAAATTCAGCAGAAGATAGTAGTAATAAAATCAATTAATACTAAATGCAAATAAACAATATTACAAAATAACCAAAGAGAATTGGTTGGAGACATCAAGATGAAGCATTGGAGATGATAATTCAATTGTGAATAAAATGTCAAGAAGTGAGACTACGGTAGCCCGGGAGTTCAAGTTTAACTCGAGGGAATGACAGTAAAGAAATCAAATAGAAGTCTACCTTTGAATTAACCTGCAGAAAATAAAAGGGAGTAGAGCTACAAGGGTAGAAGAAAAAGTATTCAGAGAAGATGAATTTGTAAGACAGAATAAAAAGCAGGGAGCTGGGTGATGTTAAAAAGAATGGAGTTTTCTCCAATATGAAAGATGGATCATTTCATGATGCCAAAATTGAAAATGAAGATTTCAGAGTAAGAAACTGGTTAAGCATGAAATTTAATGAGCTCCGTTTTGGACAGTCTGAATTTAATGTGTCACTGAAACAACCAGTCACTGAAGAGTGCCATCTTCACCTTAAAGATTTAGTAGATATCTTTCTAAGGTGAAGGAAGCCAGAAGAGTAATTGAGATCTCTCAGGTAAAACATGGAACATGGGAAAATTTCAGGGTGATTTCTTTGAGCAATTCATAATTTTGAATTGGAAATAGTCAGTAAAATAGAGAGAAAAGGAGGGGCAGGTGTACAAGACAAGAATGTGATTAGCATTGTATCTTGGATCGTGGAAGAAGAGACAGATCAACATTCAAGAAAACAATGACAAAATCTGTACTCAGATCACAGAAAATAAGTAGTTGGGTTTAGGTACTATAAGAATATAGATAACTTTGAAGAGAGCCATTTTGCCATATTGCTGAAGGCAGGAGTCAGAATGCCAGAACTTAATGTAGTGTAAAAAATAAAAATAAATAAATAAAACATCAAGAAGGAAAGGAAATATAAGTAAACCATTATTTAAAGAATGTCAGTGGTAACAAGAAGTACAGATATAGGACAATATTTGAAGTGGGCAAATGAAAATAAAAGGTCCTTTCTGATTAGATTAGAATTAAGGGAAGAGAGATGAAAGGTAACATATAATATGGAAGAAAATATTTTAAAAAGAAGCAAAGTTGAAAATAGCAAAATGACTTAAACAGTATCAGATCACGAGTTTAGATATTCACACAACAGTGGGCATATTTTGGCAGGGAAAAAAAAAGGAGAGGTAATGCCATTAAAAAGAATGTTTCTCCTGCCATGGATTCATATTATTATATACTTTCAATCAGCTCTATAAAACTGGTGTTGATATTATCAAATAAGAGTGAAAGAGGCTAGCTAGGGACAAAAGGAGAGAGAAAATGCTTTGGAGCAGCATTGGTTAATTTAACAGAGAAGAAATGAGGAATGAGCACAAGGATCGTTAAATCCCAGTGAAATCCTTTTGCCAGAGTAAAAGTTTTGTTATTTAGCACTAAAATGTAAGTGCTATGTTTTATAGTGCTAGACACATGAGTTCTACAATCCAGAACATGAAAAGCAGAGGTAAGCTTAACTCAAAAAGACCATTGTTCAAATCCAGGCTTACGATTTCTTTTCTTTCCCGAAAAGAGAATAAATGTGCAGGAAGATGCTTTTGCTCCCTGCCAATGTGAAATGTTGTGTAATATTCTCCATTTAAATGTACTATAAGTAAGATATATGTAAAAATGTTTTTCTGTGCTACTGACAACTTATAAGGAGAGAGTACTAACGACTTAAAAGAACAGAGTTGTGTTTGGTAAATATTGAGAGAAGATGATATATAAATAGCTACAAGGAGAGAAAGTCACAAAATGAAATGAAAAGATAAGAGTTTAGAAAGACATTTCAATACAGCATTATTTTACAAAGAAGTAATGAGGGGCTTATTCACTGTATGAGCTCTGGATTTCTAAAAATCTTTTTACCTGGTGAAGTATGAATTCTATAACTTTTGATACAAGTTCAACTTCAAATACACTTTTAAGGAATTATAACAGGTAATCACAATGATTGTGGGCATGCTAGAGTTGTGTTTGCTTTTTAATAGCATAATGTTTTAAGTAAAATGAAAAGTTAATTTGAGGATTCAAATGTATACATCTTACTAAAAAGGCTTACATATTGCATTAGTCCATTTTCACACTGCTGGTAAAGAAATACCCAAGACTTGGCAATTTACAAAAGAAAAAGAGTTATTGAAGAGTTCCACATGGCTGGGGAGGCCTCACAATCATGGTGGAAGGCAAGGAGGAGCAAGTCACATCCTACGTGGATGGCAGCAGGCAGAAAGAGAGCTTGTGTAGGAAAATTTACATTTTTGAAACCATCAGATCTCATGAGACTCATTCACTATCAATAGAACAGTGCAGAAAAGACCCGTCCCCATAATTCAGTTGTCTCCCACCGGGTTCCTGCCATGACACGTGGGAATTGTGTGAGTTACAATGCAAGATGAGATTTGGGTGCGGACACAGCCAAACCATATCACATATGGAATGTAAAATTGTCATCATTTTGTGTGTTTTTGTCAGGAAAAAGATATAATGATAAAGTTTTTAGTATTTGTTTTTGTTTTTTACAATTAGTTTAGATAACACTGGCTGAAGTTCCTGCATGGATTTCCCACAGAGATACTTTTGAACAATGTATCAGGCAGGATAAGAACAATCAATTCATTTTTTATTTTTATTTTTATTTTTTACTTTTTTTAATTGTACTTTAAGTTCTGGGGTACATGTGCACAATGTGCAGGTTTGTTACATATGTATACATGTGCCATGTTGGTTTGCTGCACCCATCAACTCGTCATTTACATTAGGTATTTCTCCTAATGCTCTCCCACCCTTTGCCCCTCACCCTCTGACCAGCCCTTGTGTGTGATATTCTGCGCACAGTGTCCATGTGTTCTCATTGTTCAGCTCCCACCTATGAGTGAGAACATGTGGTGTTTGGTTTTCTGTCCTTGTGATAGTTTGCTGAGAATGATGGTTTCCAGCTTCATCCATGTCTCTGCAAAGGACATGAACTCATCCTTTTTCCTGCAAAGAGCTGTAACTCATAGTATTCCATGGTGTATATGTGCCACATTTTCTTTATCCAGTCTATCATTGTTGGACATTTGGGTTGGTCCCAAGAATTTGATATTGTGAACAGTGTCACAATAAACTTATGTGTGCATGTGTCTTTATAGCAGCATGATTTATAATCCTTTGGATATATACCCAGTGATGACATGGCTGGGTCAAATGGTATTTCTAGTTCTAGATCCCTGAGGAATCGCCACACCGACTTCCACAATGGTTCAACTAGTTTACAGTCCCACCAACAGTGTAAAAGCGTTCCTATTTCTCCACATCCTCTCCAGCATCTGTTGCTTTCTGACTTTTTAATGATCACCATTCTAACTGGTGTGAGATGGTATCACGTTGTGGTTTTGATTTGCATTTCTCTGATGGCCAGTGATGACGAGCATTTTTTCCTGTGTTTTTTGGCTGCATAAATGTCTTCTTTTGAGAAATATCTGTTCATATTCTTTGCCTACCTTTTGATGGGGTTGTTTGTTTTTTTCTTGTAAATTTGTTTAAGTTCCTTGTAGATTCTGGATATTAGCCCTTTGTCAGATGGGTAGATTGCAAAAATTTTATCCCATTCTGTAGGTTGCCTGTTCACTCTGATGATAGTTTCTTTTGCTGTGCAGAAGCTCTTTAGTTTAATTATATCCCATTTGTCTATTTTGGCTTTTGTTGCTCCTGCTTTTGGTGTTTTAGTCATGAAGTTTTTGCACATGCCCATGTCCTGAATGGTATTGCCTAGGTTTTCTTCTAAGGTTTTTATGGTGTTAGGTCTAACATTTAAGTCTTTAATCCATCTTAAGTAAATTTTTGTATACGGTGTAAGGAAGGGATCCAGTTTCATCTTTCTACATATGGCTAGCCAGTTTTCCCAGCACCACTTATTAAATAGGAAATCCTTTCCCCATTGCTTGTTGCTGTCAGGTTTGTCAAAGATCAGATGGTTGTAGATGGGTGGTGTTATTTCTGAGGGCTCTGTTCTGTTCCATTGGTCTATATACCTGTTTTTGTACCAGTAACATGCTGTTTGGTTACTGTAGCCTTGTAGTATAGTTTGAAGTCAGGTAGCGTGATGCCTCCAGCTTTGTTCTTTTGGCTTAGGATTGTCTTGGCTATGCAGGATCTTTTCTGGTTCCATATGAACTTTAGAGTAGGTTTTTCCAATTCTGTGAAGAAAGTCAGTAGTAGCTTGATGGGAATAGCATTGAATCTATAAATTACTTTGGGCAGTATGGCCATTTTCACTATATTGATTCTTCCTATTCATGAGCATGGAATGCCTTTCCATTTGTTTGTATCCTCTTTTATTTCATTGAACAGTGGTTTGTAGTTCTCCTTGAGGAGGTCCTTCACGTCCCTTGTAAGTTGGACTCTTAGGTATTTTATTCTCTTTGTAGTGATTGTGAATGGGAGTTCACTCATGATTTGGCTCTCTGCTTGTCTATTATTGGTGTATAGGAATACTTGTGATTTTTGCACATTGATTTTGTATCCTGAGACTGCTGAAGTTGCTTCTCAGCTTAAGGAGATTTGGGGCTGAGACAATGAGGTTTTCTAAATATGCAATCATTTCATCTGCAAACAGGGACAATTTAACTTCCTCTTTTCCTAGTTGAATACTCTTTATTTCTTTCTCTTGCCTGATTGCCCTAGACAGAACTTCCAACACTATGTTGAATAGGAGTGGTGAGAGAGGGCACCGTTGTCTAGTGCCAGTTTTCAAAGGGAATGCTTCCAGTTTTTGCCCATTCAGTATTATATTGGCTGTAGGTTTGTCATAAATAGCTCTTATTATTTTGAGATACGTTCCATCAATACCTAGTTTATTGAGAATTTTTAGCATGAAGTGCTGTTGAATTTTGTGGAAGGCCTTTTCTGCATCTATTGAGATAATCATGTGTTTTGACGTTGGTTCTGTTTATGTGATGGATTTCGTTTATTGATTTGCATATGTTGAACCAGCCTTGCATCCCACAGAAGAAGCTGACTTGATCATGGTGGATAAGCTTTTTGATGTGCTGCTGGATTCGGTTTGCCAATATTTTATTGAGGATTTTCACATCGATGTTCATCAGGGATATTGGCTTAAAATTCACTTTTTTGTTGTGTGTCTACGAGGTTTTGGTATCAGGATGATGCTAGCCTCATAAAATGAGTTAGGGAGGATTCCCTCTTGTTCTGTTGATTGGAATAGTTTCAGAAGGAATGGTATCAGCTCCTCCTTCTACCTCTGGTAGAATTTGACTGTCAATCCATCTGGTGCTGGACTTTTTTTGGCTGATAGGCTATTAATTATTGCCTCAATTTCAGAACCTGTTATTGGTCTATTCAGAGATTCAACTTCTTCCTTGTTTAGTCTTGGGAGGGTGTATGTGTCCAGGAATTTATCAATTTCTTCTAGATTTTCTAGTTTATTTCCATAGAGGTATTTGTAGCATTCTCTGATGGTAGTTTTTATTTCTGTGGGATTGGTGGTGATATCCCCTTTATCATTTTTTATCGCATCTATTTGATTCTTCTCTCTTTTCTTCTTTATTAGCCTTGCTAGCAGTCTATTTTGTTGATCTTTTCCAAAAAAAAAAAAAAAAAAAAAAAAAAAAAAAAACAGGTCCTGGATTCATTGGCTTTTTGAAGAGTTTTTTTGTGTCTCTATCTTCTTCAGTTCTGCTCTGATCTTAATTATTTCTTGCCTTTTGCTAGCTTTTGAATTTGTTTGCTCTTGCTTCTCTAGTTCTTTTAATTGTGCTGTGAGGGCATAAATTTTAGATCTTTCCTGCTTTCTCTTGTGGGCATTTAGTGCTATAAATTTCCCTCTACACACTGCTTTAAGTGTGTCCCAGAGATTCTGGTACGTTGTGTCTTTGTTCTCATTGGTTTCAAAGAACATCTTTATTTCTGCCTTCATTTCATTATTTACCCAGTAGTCATTCAAGTACAATCAATTCTTAATGTATCTGCCTTCATACTGTTTGCAAACTGAGATAAACTTTCTCTAAAAGTCTGTAAATGAGTGTTCTTCACTGACGGTGAATTCTAAGACACCAACAGGTATTTAGTAATAAACCACACATGAATGAGTAATAAAGTGACTGGCCAGAAAGCAGGTGAGGCTAGCAGCTGCTGAACTTATATTTGACTTTATGATTACAGATATACCTCAGACATATTGCACGTTCTGTTCCAGGCTATTGCAATAAAGTGAGCCACACAATGTTTTTGGTTCTCCACTCAATATAAAAATTACATTTACACCATACTGTGGTTCATCATGTAATATCATGTGTAAAAATGACATATTTTAATTTACAACTACTTTATTGCTAAATGCTAACAATCACGTAGTCTTCAGAAAGTTGTAATCCTTTTGCTGGTGGAGGATCCTGCCTCAATGTTGATGGCTGTTGACTATTAAGGTTGTGGTTGCTGAAGTTTGGGATGTCTGCAGCAATTTCTTAAAATAAGGCAACAGTGAAATTTGCCACACTGATTGACTGTTCCTTTCATGGGAGATTTCCATGTAACATGCATTGCTATCTGATGGCATTTTACCCACAGTAGAACTTCTTTTAAAATTAGAGTAAATCCTCTGAAACCCAACCTTTGCTTTATCAACTGACTTTAGATAATATTCTAAATCCTTTGTTGTCATTTCAACAGTGTTCATATTTCAGACGTCTTGGAGGATTGAAAAAAAAAAAAAACAAAAAAAAACCAAACAATGTTCACAGCATCTTCACCAAAAGTAGATTCCATCTTAAGAAACCATTTTCTTTGCTCATCCATAAAAGCGCCTCCCTCATCTGTTCAAGTTTTATCAGAGATTTCAGCAATTCAGTCACATCTTAGTGCTCCCCTTCTAGTTCTTTTGATATTTCCACCACATCTGCAGTTGTTTCTCCACTGAAGTATTGAACACCTCAAAGTCATTCATGAGGACTGTAATCAACTTCTTCCAAATTTCTTTTAATGTAAACATTTTTACCTCCTACCATGAATCACAAATGTTCTTAATGGCATCTAAAATGGTGAATCTTTTTCAGAAGACTTTTAATTCACTTTGCCCAGAACCATCAGAAGAATCGCTATCTGTGTCAGTTACTGCCTCAGAATTTTTTTTTTTTTTTTAGATTTTGACTCTCTCTGTTGCCCAGGTTGGAGAGCAGTGGTGCGATCTTGGCTCACTGCAACCTCCGCCTCCTGGGTTTGGGCGATTCTACTGCCTCGACCTGGCAGTAGAACCACCTCACCTGGCTAATTCTTTTATTTTTAGTAGAGTTGGGGTTTCACCATGTTGGCCAGGCTGATCTCGAATTCCTGACCTTAGGTGATCCGCCTGCCTTGGACTCCCAAAGGGCTGGGATTACAGGCATGAGCCACCGCGGCCTGCCCAGAAGTATTTCTTAGCTAATAAAACTTGAATGTCAAAATTACTCCTTGAGCCATATGCTGCACAAAGAATGTTGTATTAGCAGGCATGAAAACAACATTAATCTCCTTGTATATCTCCATCAGAACCCTTGGATGACTAGGAGCATTGTCAATGAGCACTAATATTTTGAAAGAAATCTTTTCTTTTTTTTTTACCTGAACAGTAGGTGTCAATAATGAACTTAAAATATTTAATAAGCCATGCTGTTAACAAGTGGTGCCATTCAGGCTTTGTTTCCATGTATAGAGCCTAGACAGAATAGATTCAGCATAATTCTTAAGAGTCTAGGATTTTCAGAATGTTAAATGAGCATTAGCTTCAATTTAAAGCCACCAACTGCATTAGCCCCAAATAAGAAAGTCAGTCTGTCCTTTAAAGCTTTGAAGCCAGGAATTGACTTCTTTTCCCTAGCTATAGAAATGGTAAATGATATCTTCTTCCCATATATAAGGCTGTTTCATGTACATTGGAAATCTGTTCTTAGTGTAGCCATCTTCATCAATTATTTTAGCCAAATTTTCTAAGTAACTTACCATAGCATCTAATTCAATACTTGCTGCTTCACTTTGCACTTTTGTTTATAGAGATTATTACTTTTTTACACCTCAGGAACCAAACTCTGCTGGCTTCCACATTTTCTTCTACAGTTTTCTCACCTCTTTCAGCCTTAATAGAATTAAAGAAAGTTAGGGCCTTGCTCTGGAGTAGGCTTTGCTTGGGAGAATGTTGTGGCTGGTTTGATCTATCCAGATCAATACAGCTTCTTCTATACCGGCAATAAGGATGTTTCACACTTTCTTGTCATTCCTGTGTTCACTGGAGTAGTGCTTTTAATTTCCTTCAATAACCTTTTTCTTTGCTTCACAACTTGGCTTAGTGTTTGGCCCAAGAGGCCTAGTTTTTGGCCTATCTCTGCTTTCGGCATGACTTCATCACTAAGCTTAAGCATTTTTAGCTTTTGATTAAAAGTGAAAAATATGTGGCTCTTCCTCTTACTTGAACACTTATAGGCCATTGTAGGGTTACAAGTTGGCCTAACTTCTATATTCTTATGTCTCAGAGAATAAAGAGGCCCAAAGAAACAGAGAGAGATGGAGGAGCAGTCAGTTGGTGGAGCAATCAGAATACGTACATTTAGGAATTATGCTTGGTGCCTTATATAGGTATGGTTTGAGGAGTCCTAAAGAATTATAATATTAGCATAAAAATTACTGTTAGCAGGTCACCATAGCAGATATAATAATAATAAAGAGTTTAAAATATTGTGAAAATTACTAAAATGTAACACAGAGACATGAAGGGAACACATGTTGTTGGAAAAATGGTGCCAATAGACTTGCTGGATGCAGATTTGTAAGAAAACTTCAATTTGTAAAAAATCACAGTATCTGTAAAGCTCAATAAAGTGAAGCAGAATAAACTGAGGTATGTCTATATGCAACTATTTCTTTATTTTCTAAATAGGAAAAAATCACAATAGCTGATAAATATAGTAGCTTAGAAAATACTAAAAATAAAAAGTAAGAACTTTTTGGTCACTTTATAATTATTTGGCTTGTAGACATTTTTTAAAATTTATTACATTTCAAGTCTAACTTTATGCAACTCATGCCTTATGATGTCTTATCCTAGAATAACTTTTTATCTTGACTGAAAACTTGACTACTCTCTTAATTTTAACTACTGCATTAATATCTAAGATCACAGGAGAGTTGTCCTTTATCTTTATTTAAATTTGTTAGACATGAATTTTTTCCTCAAAATGTTATCTCATATGTTTTAATACTAATGTGATTTTATTTCACAAAACATTCTTTCATGGCAATTGATCCCTGTAAATTGCTTTTGATATGACTAAATTAATGAAGCTACACTCAGGCTCACCAGCATATAATTGAAATTATAGTCTTATAGGATAACAATAATAGTAATTCAATTTTCTGTAGCTCAATCTAGTCATGTGAACAACTTCAGGAACTCAGATAAGGTCATATTTTCATAATGTATGTCTCTGTGTATGCATGTGTATGTGCGTGTGCATGTGCGTGTGTGCGTGTGTGTGTGTGTGTGTGCATTTTCCTGGGTGCTTCTTGCAAATACTCAGGAACCAGTATGCTAATGTTTTCATTTTACCACTTCCTTAAGGAAGATCACCACTTAAAAGGCATTTGGATTCATTCACATGGATGCCAGTAACATCCATGAATGTGGCTTCTTAACCTAAGGTTATTCTCCCTGTACTACTAAACCAAGAAAACAAAAGCAAAAATAGTTCAATATGTCATACCTTTGAGTAACTATGGTCATTTTTAAATACATTGACATGTCTCAGCATGTCTAAGATAAATACAGCCAGATATTATTTGAAGAGGTGAAAACAGATTTTATTCAGTAACTTATGAGAGTTGTGAAAAGGGCTGAGTTCCATTTTGACTTGTGCACAGGTAATTTGAAGGTTTTATAGGGAAAATGAGGGAAGGGCAAGTGTGGGGTTTCAGTAGAGTTAGATAAGTGAAAAAGTACAAAAGGTTGGTCAGTATAAATGTGATGAGGTCAGCTGTGTCTTCTAGCTGTCTGTTATCTAAGTTAGGATTCTATCATTTCACCAAGACTAGGAGACAGACGATAAGTCCTTCTTAATGATTACATTTTAAAGGAATGGCTCGCAGGTCTTTGAGAGAGATGCTCCTGAGTTGCCAGAGAACAGATTTATATTTGCAAACCCTTTGTAGAAAATGTTCAAAAAAGGTAGAACAGGGGCCTATTATCTGGTGTGTGTTGGTTAGAACAAATAGTTTTCCTGGCAGCACTAAAGGTTCTTGGCAGACACTTTAAAAGGGCCCAGGGTCATCCTGGAGACATGTCCTTATGCTGCTAGAAGTCATGCTAGAGTTTGGTCCAGTCTCTTAGTGTAGTGGTTTGCCAAGTGTTCTATACTTCTCACCCTAATTACCTACCATCTCTTGAATGTGAGCCTGATTAGTGGCACCATCTAAAGAACAGAATGCTGCATATTGGTGACATGTATTTTTTGAGGCTAGAATTGCTGCTTCCGTCTTGTTTTCTTGAATCAAATTGGACATAGATCTTCCAGGCTTAACCTTTGGATGACTTCAGTTCCCCAAAGTTTACGTCTTCTAGTTGAGACTCTAGACATGACAGAGCCAAAGTAAGCCATCCCCATGTGTCCACTGGAAATTACTGACCCACAAACACCATAATGTAATAAATACTTACTGTTTTCTTAAGTCCCTAATTTTGGAATAATTTGTTATGCAATAATATGTAACTAATACAAAATGAATACAAATTTTTTAAAATGTTGAGGATCTATAATAAGCAAATGTCCCTTGTCTTCAGTTTCTAAAAGGAAGTAATTTTATTACAAATACTTTAATGTTATTTTGCAATATTTTATATGCATCTTGCTCAAGCCTATGTACTGTAGATCACCAATGAAGTATCACACTCTACAAGCAATTTTGGGAAGAATATGTATCTTTAGGAATAGGGATATGGAAGATTTATGTTTTAACTACTACATATAAATGTCTTAAAGCCTAGCTATTGAAAAATTATAGACCACAAATATGCAAATATGCATCAGCACATGCTCTAGGGTTATACAAACAACCCACAAAATACTGAACAGATAATAATTTATCATTAAAAAGTTAAAAAGTCAGCAAATGGAACTCACAACCAAGTCATTATATCAGAAAAGATGCAATACTAAGTTTTCTTGATTAACATATAATTTCTGGCCATCTCCATGTAACATATGTGATTCATTGGGTTGTTGCATTTTAGCCTCAATATGTCCAATCATAAAATGTAATTCAGAAATATTAAATGTATTGGTTCCTGATAAATCACTTAGTAGATAATTAATTATATCTACTCAGCTGCATACAAAAATGCAAGTCTATTCAATTCTGTATCATTGTCAATTTAGATTTGTTTTCTATAAATTCTTGCCCCTTTAAAATTGTGGGACCTACCAATGAGGATTTTTAGAGCCCATGCGCACTGGAACTTGGAAATCTTGACTCCTTAGAAATTAGACCAGGTTGAGGTCCATCTAAGGAGGATACTCATTATCTCCTCTTCAGCTATTTTCCTCCTTTCTCATTTTTATCATAAGCATGTACCTAGCATAAAATACGTCTTCCCTTTTTCCCTCAGTAAATGAATATTTTATGGAAAAGTCTCCCTAATTCATGAGTGCAGTCCTGTTCTTTGCTCAGCCTTGTTACTCCACTTCACCAACAACACTCCAAGAACAGAAATGAAGACAAAACCCTTAGTATTATACCACATGACACAATTGTTTCTAGCCTGACCAAAGTTGAGAATATAGAATTTGGGGACAGTTAGCCTATATTCCATCTTGCCTCCACCATCTATGTGAACTTGGACAATTTAAATGCTTTTTGTTTAAGTTTTCTTACACATAAAATAAAAATTACAATTTGATTTTTTTTTGAAGATTGAATGGGTCATTTAGTCAATAGAGAACACTGCCTAGCACATATCAAGCTATTATTGTCAATATATTACTATTGTTGGTGCTATTATAATAGCATATTTTATGAAAATATCTATATTTCATACTTGTGCCCTAAAATCCATACCGTAACAAAATAAAAAATAATTACTCTTGGCTCATGTCTTAGATTAATCAAATTGGAAACATAATTACAACAAATACAGAACATTGAAATTAAAGAACTTCCTTCCAACAGGTAGAGATAAAATATTTAGTAAATATGGAAGATTGACTGCTCTAATTCACCTTGACTCTAAAATCAACGTTTAAAAAAGGGTCTGTTATTTTTAGTGTTTAGCTCTATGGATAACCGTAAACTGAGGAATCATAATACCTAAGGTAAATTGTTCAAGTGTAGTAATACGTAGTGGAATGTTTAATTAGAACAAAATCCTATCCTTTCATAGTGTATAAAATTTAGATGTTTAAGGAACTCATTGTGTCTAACGATTGTGCAGCATATCAACAGTGTAGTTAGTACTTGTGATCACATTACTTTTAGTCCCTTTTTCTTCCAGTCGGTGTTACACACTGCAGTGCAGTCACACACTAATGCTTAATAAATTTAATTATATTATTCTTCTCATAACATTTTTATAAAAAATACAATACAAAAAAATACAATTCCTATACACCAAGCAGTATAGCACCTATTCACATTTTTGCATATCTCTTATTGTTTTCCACAGTTAACTTTACGTCAGGGGAAAGACTGGCCAAAGTGTAATGGTTAATATTGAGTGTCAACTTGATTGGATTGAAGGACGCAAAGTACTGTTTTTGGGTGTGTCTGTGGGAGTGTTGCCAAAGGAGATTAACATTTGAGTCAGTGGACTGGAAAGACAGATCCACCCTCAATCTGGGCGGCACCATCTAGCAAGCTCCCAGTGCTACCAGAATGAAAGCAGGCAGAAGAACGTGGAAAGTCTAGACTGACTAAGCCTGGCCTCCATCTGTCTCTGGTGCTGGATGTTTCCTTCCCTCGAACATCAGACTCCAAGTTCTTCAGCTTTTGGACTCGGGCTTAACACCAGTGATTTGCCACTGAAGGCTGCACTATCAGCTTGTCTACTTTTGAGGTTTTGGGACTCAGGTTGGCTCCCTGGCTCCTCAGCTTGCAGATGGGCTATTGTGGGACTTTACCTTGTGATCATGTGAGTCAATTCTAATAAACTCCCCTTCATATAGACATCTATCAGTTCTCCCCTCTAGAGAACCCTGACAAATACACAAAGAGTAATATATTTTTAGAGGATTTGCTTTATATCACATTGATATCAAATGATTCACTGGACATATGGCAGAATACTCACCAGCGTGAGTTAAAACAATCCTTGGAAGTGTAAACAGAACATTGGAAACTACATTTCTTTTCTGTATATACTCGTCTAAATTTCTATCTATTCTAGGACTTCTTAAGAAGCAATTGTCCAACCTTCAGCTTTAGCATTGAGGTCAAAAGAGGAAAAAACTTTCCAAATTATTGGTAGAATTGAAATGAAATCTTCATTTTAGAATGATTTTTAAAGCCTAATGTTTAGACTCACCTATTAACTCCCATTTTGAATATGTTTGTCATATTGGTACCTGTTAAATATTTCAAACACCATTGCTTTAGATTTACTCTTATATCTAAAGAGTCTTCTTTTGTCTCTTGCTCATATACATAAAATTCATTTCTTATAAGTATAGCCCTTAATGTCTTTGTGTTTCTTTGTTTTCAATATTTATCTATATGCCAGAATTATTACTTTAGCCAAGTTTGCTTCAAATGCTGCTATGGTCTGAATGTTTATGTCCTCTTAAAATTCATATGTTAAAATCTTAACCCCCAAGGTGATGGTATAGATGGCCTTCGGGAGGTGATAGATCATGACATGGAGCCCTCATGAATGGGATTCATGCTCTTTCGAAAGAGGTCCCACGACTGCCTTACCCCTTCCACCATTTGAGGACACAGCTAGGAGATACCGTCTATATACCAGAAATACACAAGAGAAGAGACCTCATTGAAACCTCAACAGACACCAAATCTGCTGTCACCTTGATCTTGGACTCCCCAGCGTCCACAACTGCAAGAAATAAACTTCTGTTGTTTATAAATTACCCAGTCTTTGGTACTTTTTTAAATCAGCCCAAACAAAGACAAATACCTGACTCTGCTGAAATATCTAGATCATTTCTCTGCTTACTATAGGCAAAATATTGGGGGATGAGGAGGATTTATTCTACAATAAATCCTGACTTTATGAAAGGAAGATATTTACTGTTTTTTTAAACTATTATTTGTATAAGTTTAAAAAGTACAAGTATAATTTTATTACATCGATATATTACATAGTGGTATAATAAAATCTAGGCTTTTAGTATATGCATCTCCCAAAAAATGTTCATTATACTCACTACGTAATTTCTCATCATACACCACCTCCCACTCCACAACACTTCGGAGTTTTAGGTGTATATTATTCCACACTCTATGTCCATGTGTACACATTATTTAGCTTCCACTTATAAGTGAGACATAAAAAGTATTTGTCTTTCTGCTTCGGAGTTGCTTCACATAAGATAATGGCCTCTGGTTCTATCCATGTTGCTGAAAAAAAAAAGAAAAAAAGAAAAAGAAAAGCGTGATTTCATTCTTTTTTATGGCCAAAGAGTATTCCGTTGTGTATATATATATCAAATATTATTTATCCAATCATCAATTGGCATACACTTAGGATGATTTCATATCTTTACTATTGTGAATAGTGCTGTGATAAATATATGAGTGCAGGTATCTATTTGATATATTGATTTTCTATCCAGTAGCGGAATGCTGGATTGAAGGTATCTCTATTTTTAGTTCTTTGAGAAATCTCTATACTGTTTTCCATAGAGGCTGTGTGAACTTACATTCCCATCAGTAGTGTATAAGTGTTTTATTTTCTACACCTCCTGGCCAACTTCTGTTAGTTTTTTACTTTTTAACAGTAGCAATTTTGACTGGTATAAGATGACATTTCACTGTTTTAATTTGCATTTCTCTGATGATTAGTGATGTTGAGTATTTATTCATATGCTTGTTAGGTATTTGTATACCTTTGATAATTTTCTTCTTTTATTATTTTCAAGCTACATGCCTATGTATGTCTTCTTCTGAAGGATGTCTTTTCATGTCCTTTATCCACTTTTTAATGAGATCATTTGTTTTTTGTTGTTGTTCTTGAGCTGTCTGAGTTTCTTCTAAATTGTGGATATCAGTCCCCTGTCAGGTGCACAGTTTCCAAATGTTTTCTCCCATTCTGCAGGTTGTCCGTATACTTGGTTGATTATTAATTTTGCTGTGCAGAAGCTTTTTAGTTCAATTAAGTCCCATTTGTCTATTTTTGTTTCTTTGCTGGTAATTTTGAGGACTCAGTTATGAATCATTTTCCTACACCAATGTCCAAAACAGTTTCATAGGTTTTCCTCTAATATTTGCATGGTTTCAGGTCTTATATTAAAGTATTTAATCCACCTTGAGTTGAGTTTTGTATATGGTGAGAGATGGGGATCTAGTTTTATTCTGCATATGGCATTCCAATTTTCCCAGCACCATTTATTGAAAAGGGTATTCCTTCTCTAATATATATTCTTGTCAACTTTGGCAAAGATCAGTTAGCTATAGATATGTGGTTTTTTCTTGGTTATTTATGCTGTTTTGTTGATCTATGTGTATTTTTCTACCAGTACCATACAGTTTTTGTTTCTATAGCCTTGGAGTATAATTTGAAGTCAGATAATATGACTTTGTTGTTTTTGCTTAGGATTGCTTTGGCTAGCCAGGCAATTTTTTGATTTCATATAAATTTTAGAATTTTTTTTTAATTCTGTGAAGAAGAATGTTGGTATTTTGAGAGGGATTGTATTGAATAGATTGCTTTGGGCAGTATGTTCATTTTAATAATGTTATTTCTTCAATTCCATAAGAATGGGATTCTTTTTTTAGTTTGTGCCATTTACATTTTTTTTAAATCAGGGTATTGTAGTTTTCCTTGTAGAGATTTTTCCTTTGATTGAATATATTTTTAGGTATATTTCTGTAGTTTTTGTAAATGGGATTACGTTCTTGATTTGTTTCTTCACTTGATTGTTATTGGTGTATAGAAATGCTACTGATTTTTTCATGTTGATTTTTACTGAAACTTTACTAAATTCATTCATAAAATCCAAGAGTTTTGGTGGAATATTTAGGGTTTTCTAGGTATAAGATAATAAAATCAGCAAACACAGATAACTTGACCTCTTCTTTTCTAATTTGGATGATTTTTATTTATGTCTCCTGCCTGATTTCTCTGGCAAACACTTCTAATACTATGTTGAATAGCCATGGCAAAAGTGGGTATCCTTGTCTTACGCCAGTTCTTAGGGAGAATGTTTTCAACTATTTAAAGAGCTTAAGGTGGCTATTTTCTTGAGTATTCCACTGACACCTCAAACCAGGATATCAGAAACCAAGTTCATCATATCTTTGTGAGCCTGTTTCTTCTCCAGTACCTCTTATTTAGTAAATAATGTCAAAGAGAACATACTTGTCCAAACAAGAAAACTGGGGGTTACATTTGTCCTCTTCATTCTCACTTACCATACTTTGCATCTGATTATGCTCTATAGCTTCCACTTTTACAATAATTCTTTTGTTTGTCACTCTTCATCAGATATTAAGCTCTCGCTTCTTCCAACTTAAGTAAGTGCAACAATATAACTAAATTTTCAGCCTCTAATTGAGAGAGTTCCCTGACACCCCTCACAGGAGGTGCAACATGGGTTTGGGTTGTCTGTTTGGTCGCTGCTGCCCAAACCCATTATGGGAGGAGGAGCACACAGACGGACAGGTGCAGGAGCCCAAGTGGGCACGTGTTACGCTATGGTCTTTTAGCCTTGCCATCCGCCAGACAACTTAAGTGTTAACCAGCTCAATGGACCCTCTGCCTTTCTGCAAGGGCAGAGCACCAGCGTGACAGCTTTCTGTATCCCAAGTTCTTGTCCAGTGTTCTGGAAGAATCAGGTCACACATAGGCTTGAAGGATGAATGTGGGGTTTTATTGAATGGTGGAGGTGGCTCTCGGTGGAAGGATGGAGAGCTGGAAGAGCAATGGAGGAGGAAGGCAATCTCCCCCTGGATTTGGCCCTCCAGCGGCTGAACTCCTCTCCAGCCACCCCCAGCCAAACTCCTCTCGGCATTCAAACATTCTTTCTCTCTTTCTCTGCCTCACCATTCTGTCGTTCATTTGCCTGTCTCCTCATCTGCTTCTGGAACCTGGTAGTCGGGGTTTATATGGGTACAGGATAGGGAGACCTGATGGGCCAAAAGGCAACAGGAATGCCTGTTCTCACGTAGGGCTGCGGATACCCAGGTGTGAGGGTGGGGTCCTTGCTCAGGAACTGCTCTCTCCTACCCAGTATTTTCCTGTCTCCTGTCTGTATCATAATCAGGATCCCCTCCAATCCAACCACAACACTAACAACAGAATTAAAGATGATCAGGCTAAGCACAGTGGCTTATGCCTGTAATCCTGTGAGATGGGACTAGTTGGATTTCGTAGGCTAACTAAAAATCCCTAAGCCTCGGTGGGAAGGTGACCGCATCCACCTTTAAACATGGGGCTTGCAACTTAGCTCACACACGACCAATGAGGTAGTAAAAAGAGCTCACTAAAATGCTAATTAGGCTAAAACAGGAGGTAAAGAAATAGCCAATCATCTATTCCCTGAGAGCACAGGGCAGGGACAATGATCGGGATATAAACCCAGGCATTCGAGCTGGCAACCGCAACCCGCTTTGGGTCCCCTTCCTGTTGTATGAGAGCTCTGTTTTCACTCTATTATATCTTGCAACTGCACACTCTCTGGTCCATGATTGTTCTGGTTGGAGCTGAGCTTTTGCTCGCCATCCCCCACTGCTGATTGTGGTCTTCACAGACACCGCCGCTGACTTCCACCCCTCTGGATCCAGCAGGGGTTCCGCTGCACTTCTGATCCAGCGAGGCGGCGCCCATTGCCGCTCGCAATAGGGCTAGAGGCTTGCCATTGTTCCTGCGAGGGCTAAGTGCCAGGTGCTCATCCTAATCGAGCTGAATAGAGCTGTAACACTCACCCCATGGCCCAAGATTCCATTCCTTAGAATCCGTAAGGCCAAAAACCCCAGGTCAGAGAACAAGAGCCATCTTGCCATCTTGGAAGCAGCCCACCACCATCTGGGGAGCTCTAAGAACAAGGACCCCCCACCGACTCCCCCCCTCCCGGCCCCAGTTAACAATCCCAGCACTTAGGGAGGCAGAGGCAGGCAGATTGCTTGACTCCATAAGTTCTAGACTAGCCTAAGAAATGTAGCAAAACCCCAGCTCTACCAACACACACACACACACACACACACACACACACACACACACACACACACACAAATTGGCCAGGGGTGGTGATGTGCATCTGTAGTCCCAGCTACTCTGGAGGCTGAGGTGGGCAAATTGCTTGAACCTGGGAAGTGGAGGTTGCAATGAGCCGAGATGGTGCCATTGCACCACAGTCTGGGCAACAAAGTGAGACTGGGTCTCAAAAAAGAAAAAAAAATAATGAAATAAAAATTATCATCGCAGTTATAGTCTGCTTAACATATTTAGTAATTATGCATAACTTTCCGGAGACCAATTCCCCCACTTATCCCTAGATAGCCTCATCTCAAACCATATTTTCAATTGTGATGTTTACCATAATAGACATGAGGCTTATTTAAGAATTTGCATGGCTTCATGCTACTATGATTTGACACAGCCTAATTTATCTGTTATGAAGTAGACGTTTTACCAAATGTTGAACTTGAAGACACAGTTAAGATAACATTCCTCTAGAAATCCCAACTCTGGCTTCAGGTTTTGTCTCACTCAGATGCTCTTCCTATTTCCTTACGTTGCGTGTTATTCAGTTCTCTATCATGAACTCATTATATCTCATTATATATTTTTTCTTTTTCTTTTTTTTTTTTTTTGAGACGGAGTCTCGCTCTGTCCCCCAGGCTGGAGTGCAGTGGCACCATCTCCGCTCACTGCAAGCTCCGCCTCCCGGGTTCCCTCCATTCTCCTGCCTCAGCCTCCGGAGTAGCTGGGACTACAGGCGCCCGCCACCATGCCCGGCGAATTTTTTGTATTTTTAATAGAGATGGGGTTTCACCGTGTTAGCCAGGATGGTCTAGATTTCCTGACCTCGTGATCCGCCCGCCTCGGCCGAACCCATTATATTTTAATGCACTTTATTTGTATCTTATCTTGTTTATTCCATTGAATAACGACATCATATATTATTTGAGCTGGCATCCTACATGCTCAACATGATGCCTGCCATGTAGTAGGTACAATAATTATACTTCTTGTCAGATGATCTGAACAGAGATTGAGAAATTTTCAGGTACTGTGAAGATAGATGCTTTGGTTCCACCACGACTAGGTAATAAAGTGTTTCATGGTGGGCAGGTCTCTGCAAAGCTGCTCCGAAGTCCAGGGAAGCTGAGTGGCCAAAGAAAAAGGCTGACAAATCTGTCTTCACAGAAAGAAACATTTAATAGGGACTTATGAACTAAAGCCGTGTCTGTGTCTCTGGTGGCTATGAGAGAAAATGGTGGATTCTAACACTGTTACCCCTGAGACTCAGGAATAACACACCGAAGGGAAGGTGCCTTAGAAAATATGGATAGGAATTTTCCCTGAGGGCATGGATTATGGTAAATAGGAGTTTATCAATGTTGATTTTCTCTAAAGGCAGGATTTAAGGTAAGTACATGCTCTTAAACAGGAACAATAGAAAAACTGGAAATCTTAGAGGCATTTTGGAACCAGGGTTGACCAGAAGTCAACATGGCAGATGAGTCTCCAAGACAGAGTTGCTTTGGCCTCCATATAAGGTAAGGGTAGAAAAGGACTCATCTTCTGATTTCTGCCCTAAGAATCACAAGATGTGTCCACATGCAGTTTATGGAGAAGATGCTAGTAAAACATCATTCTTCCTTGTCATATATTAACATTTACACACTTTAAATGAAGGTACTCTTGTGTGTGACATCTTAGTTTTGGTGATAGTAGTGCGTCTTCAAATATTTTGATGAATAGTCCAGAGAAGTTCACAGTAATTTTATTTCAAGAAGCCTGGACAGCCTATATTAAAATAGAAACTGTGGCATGAAGCATGAGATAAGCTACTCCTGTAATTGTGTGAAATGTAATTGTCAAATTGCAACATTGTTTTTATGAAGAGTAACAGAGGGTTCCTGTTTCTAGAAAACTTTAGCGTAGACTATGTATAAATGAAAAGCATTTGACATTTGTAAAATCTCACTGAGAAGTTAATAAAGCGAGTGTTCCCTTACACCTTCTCCCAATTGGCATATGAAGTTTTGTGTGTGCACATGTGTGTATAATTACAGTTGTCTCCAAGTGTGAACAATTTCTTGGCTATAATTATTTCCCCAAATTTTATTTCTTATATTATTGCTTTGTGAAAAGTCCTGTGTGTAATTATGTGAGAAACAATGTAACGCAAATTGAAAGATCTGCCTCTGAAGTTCAGTTTTCAAGCTTCACCACTTGATATCTGAATATTGGCAAGTCATTTGCTTGGCCTTTGCTTTGCTTTCCTCATCTGTAACTTGGGGAGAATAATAGCTATTATTAGCCTATCAATGGCATAGGATTGTTTAAGGATTAAACGAGTTAAAATACATAAGTAATTTAAAAGAGTAACCAAATTTTTAAGCAACTTATCAATTAATATGGGTTATTTTTAGGCTCGTCATTACCCTTAACTCATTATTTGCTGGGGCTCATTATAGTAAGCAAGGGGACCGAACCCAGTGACTACTTATGATGAAAAATACATACCTGCATTATTACTGCCTTTATGCTTAATAATTTCACAAAGCACATAGTTATGGCCCATAGTAATGAAGCAAAAGCTGCATAGATAGAACAGGAATAACAAAGAGCAGAGATCTTAAAAATAGCTTTTTGGGTCTAAATATTTTTCAAAGCTTGTCAGGGACTCCTCTGTTTCTCTTGCCGCCCTGTCTCTGTCTCTCTCCTCTCTCTCTTAGCTTCCTGCTGTCGTGTGAGAGTGTTTGTGTGTCTTGCACACATGGAGATGTGTGCATGGCAGGTCCAGGGGATGGCTACATGAAGGCAGATCATCAGTTCAATGGAACAGCTCTGTATTACTAGTTTTGTAAATTGGTTGTACCTTAAATTTATTTTGACCAAGTCCTTCATTTAATTTAATTTTTAAAAAAGCTAAACCTGCAAATTACAGGAAAAACATACAAAGAACTCTAAATAGGCTTCCAAGAAGAACCTCGTTTTTGATCTATGTATAATTTTTTTAAAAAAATAGGTAATTTTTTCAGTGGGTGTCAACTCAGTCACATATCAGTTTTCCTCAGTCACGTATCAGTTGGTTTTAGTGACTAATTTTAATGTTATAAAAAACCTTTAAATAATGTGTAACCAAATTTCTCAGCTTATTTCACATGTTCTTCTTCCAAAATAGCCCTATGTAAACTTTCACACTAAAAAATCTTACTTGATAAAATAAAATCTGTTTGATATTTAAGCCCAGTATATTGAGACCCCACCAGCATAAATGTTTATAAGGAAATACTTCACAGTTACTTGGTACACTAAATTCCTTCTCTTAACTAAGCCTTAATATAGCTGAAATTCTACTTTAATTCTGTATTCTGTATATCTTATATAAAATATTTTTTAATAATCTATTACTCCTCTCAGGCTGTATACACACACATATACACAAAAAAAGATATTCTGTATATCTTATATAAAATATTTTTTAATAATCTATTACTCCTCTCAGTTTATATACACACACACATATACACACAAAATGTGCTGGCTAGTGCAAGAGTGACGGGTTAGTGAGTCTTTTGATCTCACATGGTTACTTGCTTTTATCACAAAGGAAACTTTCAATATCAGTTTTCTGTTTAGTCTTTTAACATATGAGGAACACAATGTAAAGAAATACCCTAATAGGCCAGGCGCAGTGGCTCACGCCTGTAAAACCAGCACTTTGGGAGGCCGAGGCGGGCGGATCATGAGGTCAGGAGATCGAGACCATCCTGGCTAACACGGTGAAACCCCGTCTCCACTAAAAAAAAAAAAAAATACAAAACAATTAGCTGGGCGTGGTGGTGGATGCCTGTAGTCCCAGCCACTTGGGAGGCTGAGGCAGGAGAGTGGTGTGAACCCGGGAGGCAGAGCTGGCAGTGAGCCGAGATCGCGCCACGGCATTCCAGCCTGGGCAATAGAGCATTACTCCGTCTCAAAAAAAAAAAAAAAAAAGAAAAGAAATACCCTATTAGAAAGTCCACAAATCAGATATCCAGTTTGACTCTATAGTTTTGACAAATAGTATCACACTATAATTGTGTCAATAATATAGAATGCAATAAGAAAAATAATTCTTTTATACATTTCCAATTAGCAGCTTGGTTATATTAGACATTCTCTTCTGTTTTGATCTTGTGATTTTATGTAGAAATCTTTAATTCAATATTAGTTAAAATACATACGTAATTAAGGACCGGAAGCTAAACTGCTGCCTCTACCAGTTTCAAAAAAAAAAAAACAACAGCAGAGTAAATGTAGATTAAGTATCATTCATATTGACTCGATATATGACATATGTTACACGGTGCTGTGTTCCAAGGCAATTGCAAAGTGAGGAACAGTCCTACCAAAAATATTTTGACAATGACTGTTTCGCTGGAGACTGGATTAATGATGTATATGTGTGGAAATGTGAGTTTTGCTAAAGGTTGCCAAACCATACACCTGAAAAGTACTGACAATTACCATCATCCAAGAGATAGTCACCAGTCCCTTGGCAGTCTAAAATTATAATCAGATATTGAGAAATAACATAAAGAAAAATATGGTCAAATTAGGAGATTAAAACATGATCGAATTACTTATCTGTGATTTTTGAGGATTTCTATACATTATGTGAGATAACAGAAACATAGAATAATCAATAAGCAGTATCAATAATGTAAAGAACAAGGAAGGAGAGACATCTCTTTGGAAGAAAGAAAAAAATAAAAAAAAAAAACAAGCATGATTATTTCACGGAAAAACAACTCCAAGTTCTCAAGATTTGTTTCAATTTCACTCATCTTATAATAAAATACTCCATCACTTACATTATCAGGCACCAAATAGAAACAATTTAACTAGGAGTGAGAATTGATTCTGTGTGCATATTCAAGCGTGCATACTATGTGAATTATAACAGTATTCCTTTTTCAAATTTGGACTAATTGTCTCATATTTTACTGCTATTTATTGGAATGCTTATTAGAATAAAGATGGTAATAATATATGTTAACACAGTGTATTTATCTCACCATAAACATTTATTGAACAGCTGTGTAGATTTTGACACTTCTCTTGCCTCAAACTGATAATTTTCTCAAGAGTTTGTGAGACATCTTGGCAAATGACTGCTCACTTTTATTATTATTATTTTTACTGGGGTAAGAACACATCACATAAAATCTACTCTCTTATCACATTTTGCAGTGTATCCTGCCACAGTTGAAAGCATGGATCAAATTGGAGGACATTGTGATAAGTGAGGTAACTACTCGCTTTCTGATCAGTCCATCTCTGCAGAGAATTATTATTTTGGTTGGCTTCTAATTAATTAGTACCTATTATATTTTCATTTCTCATGTTTTTCATAACAATTTCATAAAAATATCAATAATCAAAATTCATTCAGCATGTGGAGCCACATTTCATTTTGGCTGGGGTTCAATGTTTGCATGTCATAATGAATAGCTTTGCCAAAATGTTACCAGCCTGCAAAGTATATTTTTGGATTCTTCATCTAAGAAGACTTTAAAACAAAGTGAAACACCTTCTGGAATTCATTCATCAGTGTTTTCCAGCCAGATTATATTGGGTATAAAGAGCAAAGGGAACTGGTCTTTCAGCTTTAGGCAACATGTAGTTATCACTAGAGCACGATCTGAAGCTTGAAGTCACCTTCAACTTGTCACTATCCCTCTGCCTGCTGTTTAGAACCATTAAGGGCCAGAGAGGCAGCAATAAAAAGTACAGCTTTGGATAATAGAGGAAAACATACTGTGCTCTTTATGTTTTTTAATAGGGCATGACAATTGTTCCCAAACTGCCTGGAAGCCATTGTGCCTTGCTACTCTGGAGTGTGGCATATAATGTAATAAAGGACACAGTTTCTCAGCTAATGCAAGCATGGCATTTTCCCCCACCTAGCAAATGCCAAATGCTTAGAACACTCGGGGGTTTTAGAAAGTTTTATAGGGATTTTCTTAGGTAGGCAAACAAAATGGCTTAATTTAAACCCACTTATTTGAAATGGGCCAAAAATAAATAATTCCTTTAGACTTAGCAAAGAAATTATGTTTTATAAACTGTAATTGCCCTATAAAATTAATCAAAACAAGAACTTCATTTCATATACTAAAAGAAAGCATGAATACTCATCAAAACAATGTTCTGTAATTAATATCATTTTGTAGACATTTGTGATCTCCCAAGCTCTTGTTATATTCTCTCATTTTGTTATATAATTTTCACAATAACACTAAGAGATAGACGTGAGTGTAGTCCTATATTAGGTAGAAAAAGGTAATTCGGTGTTGTTGCATAATTTACCTATGGCTACACGTATAATAACTGGGAAAATAAGGATTCAAACTCTGAGAAACCTTCGCTAGGAAAGCAAGATGCTTTGTCCAGTTTTTATTACCATTTTCCCCAATGTTTAAAATTGTGGTAAGATACACATAACATAAAATTTACCATTTTAACCATCTTTAAGAACATTGTTTAGTGTTATTAAATACATTAATAATATTGTACAACCATCACCACTATCTACCTCTATAGATCTTTTCATCTTGTAAAACTGAAACTCTATACCCATTAAACAGTATCTCCTCATTCCTTCCTTCCCCCAGCCATTGACAATTGCCATTCGACTTCCTGTTTCTATCATTTTGGCTATTTTAAAGATATTATATATATGAAATTGTGCAGAATTTTTTCCTTTTGTTACTGGCTTATTTCACTTATCATAGTGTCCTCAAGATTCATCTATGTAATAGCATATGCCAGAAATAACTTCCTTTTTAAGGCTGCATAATATCCTTGTACACATATTTACAGTGTATCACTTTTTTGCTTATCCATTCATCCATACATACAAGATTTGGATTTATTCTTTAATTTTTAGCTATTTTAATATGCTATTAACATGGGTGTACAAATGTGTCTTCATGACTCTGGCCTCAATTATTTTGGGTATATTCTCGCGTGGAATTCCTGGATCATACAGTAATTCCATTTTCAATCCTGTTTTCACTGTTTTTCACGCAGTGGCTGTGCCATGTTACATTTCCACCAACAGTGCACAAGGGCTCCAATTTCTCCACATTGTCACAAAACACTTATTTAGTAGTGCTATTAATGGTAGCCATCTTAATGGGTATAAGGTGCTATCTCATTGTAATTTTGATTTGAATTTTGCTAATGATTAGTGCTGTTGAGCATCTTCTCATGTGCTTATTTACCTCTTGTATATCCTCCTTGGAGAAATATGTATTCAAGTCTTTTGCCCAATTTTGACTCAGGTTGGTTGTTTTTCTGTTGTTTTAGGAATTCTCTGTAAATATCACATATTAATCTCATCAGATATTTGATTTGCAAATATTTTCTCTCATTCTGTGGGTTGCCTTTTGACTTTATTGATATTGTTATTTGACGACAATTTTAACAAAGTTTCAGTTTGTCTATTTTTCTATTGTTGTTGCCTATGTCTATGATGTAATATCCAAGAAATTATTGCCAATTCCAATGTCTTAAAGCTTTTGTCGTGGGTGTTTTTCTAGGAGTTTGTATAGGTTTAGATCTTATATTTAGTTCTTTGATGCACCTGAAGATAATTTTTGTTTATGGTGTTAGAAAAGAGGTCAACTTCATTCCTCTGCATTTATATATCCAATTTTCCTAGAATCTTCATTGAAAGTTCTGTTCTTTTCTTTTTGAATGATCTTGCCACATTTGTGAAAAGATCTTTTGACCATATATGAAAGGTATTATTTCTGGACTCTGTATTCTCTTCTGTTGCTCTATATGTCTATCTCTATGCCACCACCACACTGTTTTGTAACTGTGGCTTTGTAGTAAGATTTGAAATCGAGAAGTGTGTCTTCCATCTTTATTCATTCTTTTAAAATAGTTGTGGCTAATAGGAATCCCTTGTAATTCCATATAAATTTTCTAATGGTTTTTTCTATTTATGGAAAGAAAACTGGTATTTTGATAGGGATTGCATTCAATCTGTACATCACTTTGGGTAGTATTGACATCTTAGCAACATTAACTCATTTAATTTATGTACATGGGATTTATTTTCTTTTATTTACATCTTCTTTAATTTCTTTCAGTAAAGTTTTGTAATTTTCATCATACAAATCTTTCACCTCCTTGGTTAACTCCTGAGTATTATATTCTTTTGATGTTATTGCAAATGGAATTGCTTTCATAATTTTGTTTTCATATTGTTCATTGTTAATATGTAGAAACACAATTTTTTATTATAATACTTTAAGTTCTAGGGTACATGTGCACAATGTGCAGGTTTGTTACATAGGTATACATGTGCCAGGTTGGTTTGCTGCACCCATCAACTCGTCATTTACATTAGGTGTTTCTCCTAACACTATCCCTCCCCCGGCCCCCTACCCCTCCCAAGAGGCCCTGGTGTGTGATGTTTCCACTTATGAGTGAAAACATGTGGTGTTTGGTTTTCCGTTCTTGTGATATTTTGCTAAGAATGATGTTATCCACCTTCATCCATGTCCCTGCAAATGACATGAACTCATCCTTTTTTATGGCTGCATAGTATTCCATGGTGTATATGTGCCACATTTTCTTTATCCAGTCTATTATTGATGGACATTTGGGTTGTTTCCAAGTCTTTGCTACTGTGAATAGTGCCACAATAAACATATATGTACATGTGTCTTTATAGTAGCATGATTTATAATCCTTTACACATGATATTTTTAATGTGTTGACTTCACATCCTGCTACTTTGCTTATTTCACTTATTAGTTCTAACGGTTTTTGTGTGTGAGCATAATCTTTATGGGTTTCATTATTCAAGTTTATATCATCTGTGAGCAATAATTATTTTATTTCTTTTCTAATTTGGATTTATTTTATTTCTCCTTCTTGCCTACTTGCTCTGGCTAAAACTTGCAATACTATATTGAAATACTTGTGGTACAAGTAGGCACCCTTACCTTGTTACTGGTGTAAAGGAAAAGGCTGCATTCTTTACTATGGAGAATAATGTTTGCTGTGTGTTTTTCAGATATGGCTTTTGTTATGTTGAAATAATTTTCTTCTATTCCTAGTTTGTTCAATGTATTTATCATGAGGGGGTGTTAAATTTTGTCAATTGTTTTTTCTGCATTAATTGAGATGATTATGTGTATTTTTTCTTTCGATATGTAAATGTGGTGTATTACATTGATTAATTTTTGCATGTTTTATCATCCTTGTATTTCAGAAATAAATCCCATTTGGTCATAGTATATGTTCTTTTTAATGTATTACTGAATTTGGTTTTCTAATATTTTGGTGATAATTTTTGCATCAATATTTATGACAGGTCTGTAGCTTTCTTACGGTGTCTTTGTCTGGCTTTGGTATCTAGATATCTCACTTCATTTTGTCTGCTGTAACAAAATGTCTTAGATGGAGTAATTTAAAAACAACAGAAACTTATTGCTCACAGTTCTGGAGGCTAGGAAGCCCAAGATCAAGGCACCAGCAGAGTTGCTGTCTGGGAAGGGCTCTTTTTGTGCTTCAAAGCTGGGGCCTTCTTCCTGTGTTCTCACTTGACATAAAAGACTAACTAGCTACCTCAGGCTTCTTTTAAAAGGGTGTAATTTCATACATGAAGGTGTGTGCATCATGACCTAATCACTTCTAAAAGCCCTCACCTCTTAATAGTATCACTTTGGGTATTATGTTACAGTGTATGAATTGTGGGCATCACCAACATCCACACTATATCAGAGGGTAATGTTGACCTCTTAGAACAAAGTAGAAAGTTTTTTCTGCTCTAATTTTTTTTTCTTGTAAACTTTGAGAAGAAATAGTGTTAGTTCCTCCTTAAAAGTTGGGCAGAATTTACCAGTAAAGCCATCAGATGTAGAACTTTTCTTTGTTGGGAGGTTTATATTACTAATTCAATTTCCTTACTAGTTATAAGCCTATTGAGATGTTCTAGTTAGTGATTTAGGCCTGGTGGTTTTTATGTTTTTAGAAATTTCTCTGTTTCATTTAGGCTACCCAATTTGATGGCATGCAGTTGTTCATAGCACTCTTCTTGAATTCTTTTCATTTATATAGAATTGGTAGTAAATCTACACAAACAATTCTTTTATTTCTAATTTTGGTAACAAGTATTCCCTTTTTTTCTTAGTCCATTTTACTAAAGCTTTTTCAATTTATCTTTTCAAATAAATGACTTTTGAGTTTATTAATTTTATCTATTGTTCTTTTATATTCACTTATCTATGTTCTAATCTTTATTATTTCCTTCTTACTGCTACCTTTGGTTTAGTTTTTTTCATTTCTTAAGTTGTAAAGTTAGATTGTTGATTGGAGCTCTTTCTTGATTTTTGATGTAAGCATTTAAAGCTATACATTTTTCCCTTGGCACTGGTTTCACTACATTCTGTAATTTAATTTTTGGTATGTTCTGTTTTCATTTCCCTTGTGATTTTTTTATTTGGTCAACTGGTTAAGAGTATGCTTTCCAAATTTCCACAAATTTGTACATTTTCTCATTTTACTGATTTATTTTTAATTTTATCTCATTGCAGTCAGAGAAGATACTTTGCATAATAGCTATCCTGTTTTCAATCTTTTGAGACTTAATTTGTGGCTTAACAAATGAACTATACTGGAACATGTTCCTCGTGTACTTTAAAAAAATGTGACGTGGACACAGGGAGAGGAACATCACACACCAGGGCCTGTCAGGGGGTAGGGGACAAGGGGAGAGATAGCATTAGGACAAATACCTAATGCATGCTGGGCTTAAAACCTAGATGATGAATGATGGGTGCAGCAAACCACCATGGCACATATATACTTATGTAACAAACCTGCATGTTCTGCACATGTATCCCAGGACTTAATGTATAGTAATAGTAAAAAGAAAATAAAAGAATGTGTATACTGCTGTTGTTGGATATAATGTTCTGTATTTATCTGTTATAGTTAGTTGGTTTATTGTGTTTTTTTAAGTTCTCTATTTTCTTCTGTCTATTTGTTCTATCCATTATTGAGAGTGGGTTATTGATGGCTCCACCTATCACTGTATGACTCTCTATTTCTCCCTTTAATTCTGTCCATTTTTATTTCATGTATTTTGATGGAATCTCATTAGATGAGTAATTTTTTATAATTGTTATATCATCTTCTCTATGCTGAAGCTTTTATTAAAATACAGTGCCCTTCTCTGTCTCTTATATTTTAATTTAAAATTTATATTGTCTGATAGTAGCATAAGAACCCTGCTAATTTTTGTTTACTGATTGCATGTAATTTTTTTTATCCTTTTGCTTTCAATCTATTCCTGTCTTTGGATCTAAAATAATATTTTGTAGATGGCATAAAGGCAGATCATGTGATTTTATTCATTTTGCTAGTCTGACTTTTGATTGAAGACTTTCATCCACGTAAATTAAAAGTAATTATAAAGAAAGTCATTTCTGTCACTTTGCTATTTATTTTCTCTATGCCTTAGAGTGTTTTGTCTTCCATTTTCTGCATTATTGTCTTCCTTTGTGTTTAGTAGGTTTTTTTTCAGAGAAATGTTTAAATATCTTTCTAGTTTCTTCTTATGTAATGTCTATAGCTATATTTTTATGGTTACCATGGAGATTACACTTAGCATTCTAAAGTTATAACACTCTAATATAAATTTACACTGGCTTTACTTCAAAACATACAAAAACTCTGCTCCTTTACAGCTTTATTTTCATCCATTTTAGTTGTTAAAATTACAAAATTACTCTTTTACAAATTGTGTGTCTCAAAACAAAATATTAAGACTTTTACATGTATTAGTCTCTTGAATCAGGTAGAAAACAAAAAGGGGAGTTACAAACCATTGTTAAAATACTATTAATTGTTCTAACTGCTTATGTATATAACTTTATTGACATCATTATTTCTTTATACAGCTTTATGCAACTGTCTAATGTCCTTTTATTTCCCCCTACTGAACCATTTCTTGCGGGGCAGGTCCAGTGTAACAAACTCTCTCAGATTTCATTTATCTGGAGATCTTTAAAGTTGTCCCTCATACTTGAAAGATGGTTTTTCCAGATATAGTATTCCTCATTGATAATTTTTTTCTTACCACTTGCGATATATCATTTCACTACCTTCGGACCTCCAAGGTTTTTGATGGAAAATCTGCTCATGATGGTATTGAGAATTCTTTTCATGTGAAGTCACTTCTGTCTTGCTGCTTTCAAGATTTTGTGTTTGCTTTTGTCATTGAAAAGTGAGATTGTAATGTGTGTTGGTGTGGGTCTTTGAATTCATCTTTCTAGGAGTTTCTCAAGCTGCTTTGATATTTATATATTTGTCTTTCATATATCAGATTTGGAACATCATCACTCACCATTGCTTCAAATATTCTTTATGTCTCTTTCTCTTCATCTTCTTGTAAGATTCCTACAATACATATTTTGGTTTGTTTGATGGTGTCCCACATATCTCTTCCGCTCTCTTTTGTTTTCTCTAATTTTTTTATTTCTCTTTCTAAGAAGGTTTGATAATTTCCATTGTCCTATCTTCAAGTTCACTGGTTCTTTTCTCTGCCTTCTGAAATATTCCTTTTTATTCCTTTAACGTGTTTTGCATTTCAGTTATTATACTTTTCAGCTTCAGAATTTTCTTTTGGTACATTTTTAGGTTCCTTGTCTGTTTATTAATATTTCCATTTTTTAACACATTGCTTTCTTGACGTTCTTGAAATCTTTCTTGTGTCCATTGAGCATCCTTAAAACAGTTGTCTCAAGTCTGTGGCTAGTGGAGGTGCCATAAAAATATTCTTGGGATAGTTTCTAGTGATGTTTTTTTTCTTTTGAATAGATTATACTTTACTATTTATTTATTGTATAGTCTGTTTTTGTTACTTCAACATTTTTATGTTGAAACCAAACTTTTAAATTGCTGTTATTAAGTGGTATGGCTTATGGAAGGTGAGTAGTTCATGAGGGCTCTACCCTTATAAATGGGATTACTGTCCTTATTTAAAAAAAAAAGGCACAAAGGAGTTTGTTCACACTTTTCATAATGTGAGAACATGGAAAGAAGACACCATCTCTGAAGCACAGAGAGAGCCCTCACCAAAGATTAATTCTGCTGGTGCCTTGATCTTGGACTTCTCAGCCTCTATTGACTGTAAGCAATACATTTTTGTTATTCATAAATTATACAAGCAAGGTGTTTTGTTTTAGCAGCTCAGATGGACTAAAACACTTTGTATGACTGTGATTTTTTGTTAAAGCTAACATTTGAATGCAATAATCTAACTCTTGATATCCGATTACCCCCCTTCCCCAACGTTTGCTGGGTTATTTTTGATGTTTGTTTATGCTTATTGTTACTGTTTTTCTAATTGCTGTAGCTGTCTCTGCAGCAAAGATCAGCTAGAAGTGTAAATTTAAAGACTTCTTAGGTAAATACTAAGCTTATGCCTTTACCTGGGCATGCGCAGTCACTTTCTAATTTTTCCCAGATGTACACTTGCTTCTGAATATCCTGGTCTTTAGTGTCTGGCTCCCAAAAGAGAAAAACAAGAAAAATGAAGGAATGGAGAGTAAAAGTTGTGCTCACTCTTTAAATTCTCTGGACGTCCCTTGAGCCACACACTTGCAACATGGTAGGGAGGTGGTTCAACAATGACTTCCTGCCTCTATGTCTGCATGTCTGTGATTAAAAGCATTAATCAGTGGACTTACAGGCCGATATCTTTAGGCAGGTGCAGACTCTGTGTTCAGACGGAAGCGTTATTCAGTGGTCAGAGCACAGATCCCTGATATTCAGAAACAGAGGTCTTTTAGCCCACCATGGCTCTGGCAGTCTGCATGCAGGTTGCTCTAGGAACACACGCATGAATTCTTGCCATGTGGTGGGTGGTGAGGGTAGACACTCTGCTAAGTGTGGCAACTGAAAAATCAATTTCATATGTTTGTTCAATTCATTCTTTGGCCACTGCAAGCCTTCAACGGATTTTAGCGTTTCAAAATACTTCATTAAACAGATTCTGCCACTGCAGCTGTTGTCTAGGTGAGACGAGAGCTTTCCAATGCTGACTACAGAGCCATCATCACAGAATCTTCTTTTCAGACTTTATTATTTTTTAAATAATAATAATAGCTACGATTAAGGCTTTACAAAATATCACAAATTTTTTCATACTCTCTCCATATATTACCTCATCTAATACTATAATTCTCTTAGAAAGAAATTATGTCCTGTTACAAATAAGAAAAACTTTCTCTTTTGAAGGACTAAAAAAAATTCTAAAAAATGACTTATTAGAGTGAATAAACCAAAATCTAGGCTATAAATGTTTCTTCCTAAGATGGCAACATTAATAAATCAATCATTGACTTTGAAACTTAAAAACCCTTACAGTAATTATATAACATACTATAAAGTTTCTTTCTTAAGTAGCAAAAAGAGAGAATGTGGTATTATTTTTATACAATTTTGAGGTAAATTGTACACAGTGAATTAAATACATCTAATGAATATAAGAATCCAAATTGTAGACTTAGATGCATTCTATTCTAGGGAAAAGATTTAACAATCCACGAATATAAATTTTTATTTACTGGTTGTTAAATACTGTTTTAGAAATAGTGGACATTACAAATTTTCAAATTTCTAAATAATACTAACACCCTATGTAAAATGTGTAGGGAAACAAATTATTACCATATAGTTTTGACGAAAATGCAAATAGGCACAGATATTCTAATTTAATGATATGTGATAAACCTAATTTAAAAACATCTTTTCATGTTTATCACCAAAAAAAGATTTACTTCAAATACAAATGCATATGTTCAAATATATAAAATATAAATAAACAAGATAATGGGTACCAGTGATGAACTTTATGATTGTGTTTTATGTGTCAACTTGGCTAGACTAGCATCTCCAGTATTCAATCAATCACTAATCTGAATGTTGCTGTGAAGGCATATTGCAGATGTGATTAAAGTCCATAATCAGTAGACTTTATATAAGAAGACTATTTTGGAGTCAATCAAGTTAAAAATCTTAAGAGCAGAACTGAGGCTTTTTTTTAATTATACTTTAAGTTTTAGGGTACATGTGCACAATGTGCAGGTTAGTTACATATGTATACATGTGCCATGTTGGTGTGCTGCACCCATTAACTCGTCATTTAACATTAGGTATATCTCCCAATGCTATCCCTCCCCCCTCCCCCCACCCCACAACAGTCCCCGGAGTGTGACGTTCCCCTTCCTGTGTCCATGTGTTCTCATTGTTCAATTCCCACCTATGAGTGAGAACATGCGGTGTTTGGCTTTTTGTCCTTGCGATAGTTTGCTGAGAATGATGGTTTCCAGCTTCATCCATGTCCCTACAAAGGACATGAACTCATCATTTTTCATGGCTGCATAGTATTCCATGGTGTATATGTGCCACATTTTCTTAATCCAGTCTATCATTGTTGGACATTTGGGTTGGTTCCAAGTCTTTGCTGTTGTGAATAGTGCCACAATAAACATACGTGTGCATGTGTCTTTATAGCAGCATGATTTATAATCCTTTGGGTATATACCCAGTAATGGGATGGCTGGGTCAAATGGTATTTCTAGTTCTAGATCCCTGAGGAATCGCCACACTGACGTTCACAATGGTTGAACTAGTTTACAGTCCCACCAACAGTGTAAAAGTGTTCCTATTTCTCCACATCCTCTCCAGCACCTGTGTTTCCTGACTTTTTAATGATCGCCATTCTAACTGGTGTGAGATGGTATCTCATTGTGGTTTTGATTTGCATTTCTCTGATGGCCAGCAATGATGAGCATTTTCTCATGCATCTTTTGGCCGCATAAATGTCTTCTTTCAAGAAGTGTCTGTTCATATCCTTCGCTCACTTTTTGATGGGGTTGTTTGTTTTTTTCTTGTAAATTTGTTGGAGTTCATTGTAGATTCTGGATATTAGCCCTTTGTCAGATGAGTAGATTGCAAAAATTTTCTCCCATTCTGTAGGTTGCCTGTTCACTCTGATGGTAGTTTCTTTTGCTGTGCAGAAGCTCTTTGGTTTAATTAGATCCCATTTGTCAATTTTGGCTTTTGTTGCCATTGCTTTTGGTGTTTTAGACATGAAGCCCTTGCCCATGCCTATGTCCTGAATGGTATTGCCTAGGTTTTCTTCTAGGGTTTTGAAGGTTTTAGGTCTAACATGTAAGTGTTTAATCTATCTTGAATTAATTTTTGTATAAGGTGTAAGGAAGGGATCCAGATTCAGCTTTCTACATATGGCTAGCCAGTTTTCCCAGCACCATTCATTAAATAGGGAATCCTTTCCCCATTGCTTGTTTTTCTCAGGTTTGTCAAATATCAGATGGTTGTAGATATGCAGCATTATTTCTGAGGGCTCTGTTCTGTTCCATTGATCTATATCTCTGTTTTGGTACCAGTGCCATGCTGTTTTGGTTACTGTAGCCTTGTAGTATAGTTTAGAGTCAGGTAGCATCATGCCTCCAGCTTTGTTCTTTTGGCTTAGGATTGACTTGGCGATGCAGGCTCTTTTTTGGTTCCATATGAACTTTAAAGTAGTTTTTTCCAATTCTGTGAAGAAAGTCATTGGTAGCATGATGGGGATCGCATTGAATCTATAAATTACTTTGGGCAGTATGGCCATTTTCACGATATTGATTCTTCCTACCCATGAGCATGGAATGTTCTTCCTTTTCTTTGTATCCTTTTTAATTTCATTGAGCAGTGGTTTGTAGTTCTCCTTGAAGAGGTCCTTCAAGTCCCTTGTAAGTTGGATTCCTAGGTATTTTATTCTCTTTGAAGCAATTGTGAATGGGAGTTCACTCATGATTTGGCTGTTTGTCTGTTCTTGGTGTATAAGAATGCTTGTGATTTTTGCACATTGATTTTGTATCCTGAGACTTAGCTGAAGTTGCTTATCAGCTTTAGGAGATTTTGGGCTGAGACAATGGGGTTTTCTAGATATACAATCATGTCATCTGCAAACAGGGACAATTTGACTTCCTCTTTTCCTAATTAAATACCCTTTATTTCCTTCTCCTGCCTAATTGCCCTGGCCAGAACTTCCAACACTATGTTGAATAGGAGTGGTGAGAGAGGGCATCCCTGTCTTGTGCCACTTTTCAAAGGGAACCCTTCCAGTTTTTGCCCATTCAGTATGATATTGGCTGTGGGTTTGTCATAGATAGTTCTTATTATTTTCAGATACGTCCCATCAATACCTAATTTATTGAGAGTTTTTAGCTTGAAGGGCTGTTGAATTTTGTCAAAGGCGTTTTCTGCATCTATTGAGATAATCATGTGGTTTTTGTCGTTGGTTCTGTTTATGTGATGGATTACGTTTATTGATTTGCATATGTTGAACCAGCCTTGCATCCCAGGGATGAAGCCTACTTGATCATGGTGGATAAGTCTTTTGATGTGCTGCTGGATTCAGTTTGCCAGTATTTTACTGAGCATCGGAGATATTGGTCGGAAATTCTCTTTTTTTGTTGTGTCTCTGCCAGGCTTTGGCATCAGGATGATGCTGGTCGAACCGAGGCATTTTTAAGGAAAAATAAACTTTATCTTTAAACAGCGGCTTTAGCTCAGATTAAGAGCTTGATTGAGCAGATTGAGAGTTCCAATCTGCTCTTCTTGATAGATACAGAATTTCAGATTTGTCTTGCAGGTGCCCACAATCATGTAAACTGACTTATTGTAAAAAATCCAATATATATCCATTTCTGTGGTTGATATATATTAGCAGTTATCAATTTATCTGGCTGTTCAATTTCTCTGGTTGAACACTGATTCTGATTTTTAAAAGAGGTAATAGAATACTCATGCAATAAAATAATTTATAGCTGCTAAATAGTTATAGCATAATATTTTTAATTAAAAGAATATCTATAACATATTTTTAAGAAAAAACTAGTCTATAAAAGAACCTGAGTAATTTATTACCATTATAATATATGTAAATATGTGCATATATTTATGCATGTATTTGTGTATATAATATATACAACATATCATATGTAAATACTATATACATGTGTACATGTATATTATATATAATATATACACAGAATATGATATACACATATATTAATACATATGTATATATTATTTATGTATAATATATGCACACATATGTGCACAAATATGTAATATATGACATACATTACATATACTTATATATGTAACATTATCTGTGTGCATATATACATAAGTTTGTAAATTTAATCAGAAACCAAAACATTAAGAGATAATTTAACTTTGGCAGCTGCGAATAGGTCTTATAATTTGGTTTAGTTTGCTTTTATTTACCTTAATTGTTTTTAATTTATCTGCATACCTGTACTTTCTAGAAGTAAACATAAACTATGTATTACTTTTATTTGTAATTATAAAAAATTGTGCAATATGTTTACATATATACATATATATACCATGAACGTATGTGTGTGTGTGGATAGATGTAGATAGATTAGATATAGATATAGATAGATGATATAGACATAGATATATAACTTCTATTTTCAGCCAAGGGATTATGTAAGATCTAAGTAGGAGAGTAATATAACTTATATTTTTCATCCAGCATTAATATAGAAAAAATTATTTTATTATGTTTTCCCTTCTTTCCCTCCTGCCTGTCTTCCTCACTTGAATTTTTCTTTATTTTCTATATATTTTTAAAAGCAGAAAATGCTTTTCCTAACTCGGACACAGACAGAAACTATATTATGAACATCAGATAAAGTATACAAAGTAGAAGAAGCTTAACATAAAAGGCAGAATACCTTGTGAGCTACATGGCCCCACTCATTGCCAGGGAAACCAGACTACTCACCCTGAGCAACATAAGGCAAGCAAAAATCCCACTGCTACTACTGCAACTAGTGCTCTTTTGCAAGCACCACCTCCTGGCTGGAGGCAAACAAACACACTCCACCACAGTATCTCCTTGTAGAATAACACTGCACCCAGGAAGGAGAAAATGGCTGCACAATCTCAGCTATTACCACTGCCTGCACCACTATGGCTAACCAGGAGGTCCTGAGTTTGTCCACATGACCAGCTTATTACTACTATAACTGGCATTCAAGAAAGCCAACACAGTACAGCTATCAATAAACAAGATATTTCAGGGTCTATATCACTCCCCTGTCATGCCCATTAGAGCTGGTGCTGCTACCTGGGGCTGGGAAACTTTAGGACAGGTCACACTACCAAATCCCTTGCAGACATTCCCTAACACCAGCCCAGGAGTGTGGACACTTCACTGTGCAGCTAGAATCGAAGGAGCAACAACACTCACAGTAGTCTAGCTCCCAGTGACTCCCACTCCTAGAAGGGGGATGGCAACACATCAAGGGAACACCATGTGGGACAAAATAATCTAGACAGCAGGCCTTGAGTACTAGATCCTTCCACTACTGGGAAGCTTCTTTCAGCAGAGGCATAGTTGTAGTGCTGGGCTCAGTAGGAAAAGTCTTCAGCTATATCCTAACACTCAGACAGCCCTGGTGCATGTGAAGGGTCTTGGAGAAGAGGAAGTATTTTCCCCTTGTCCATCATGGTAGGCACATGTTGGGGTTTCTTCCACAGGAGCTCAGCATGGGTGTAACTATGGACAGCCTTTCTGGGACATGTCAGGGTGACAGCATCCCCATAGAAGGAACACTCTTCAGGCTGAGGCTTGCTTGAGAGACAGAGTCACAATTCCTTTCTATTTGGAACATCAACATTCCTACAGATGAAAAGATGTGCCTGTCTGATCTGAATAGCTGGAACACTGGGACAGGAGTATATCTGAGAGGTAGATAACTTTCCTGCTGACCTGGCAAGGCAGCTGAGGTGGCTCCAACCCTTCTCCCTGATAAGACCTTAGTGCAACCCACGGAGAGCTCTTCTAGCCACCTCTGTCAAGGCTGGGGCCTCATTTCCCCACTTGCTTTAGCTATAATTGGTTTCTACCCAGGGACACCTCCTCTACTAGTTTGAAGCCTGATCCATCAAACTAGTAAATAAAAGGTAAATACTAGGGGAAAATAAATAAATAAATAATACATGCCACAGGGGGATGAGATAAGCTTTTTGAGACATATAATATTCCAACTCCATAGGAGATGGTGAACTTGCTCTGAGCACATTGCTACTACAAGGAGCATATGAGACAGCCATCGTACAGAGACTCTCTATAACCAAATAACTCTAGTCTTCACCCGTGAAAGTACCAAGAACTCACTTAGGCTATAATTAACTATAAACACTAAAGTATCATACTTACGGAGAAAAAATGAAAACAAACAAACAAAAGAAACAAAGTGAAATCAAATATAAATTCAAGCATAACTAGAAGAAATAGTCTACCCAAATGAGAAGTAACATTCCCAAAAGATCACACTAGCTCTCCAACAATGGACCCAAACCAAGATGAAAGATTTGAAAAACCAAATAAGAAATTCAGAAGATTAATTATTAAGCTACTCAAAGAGATGTTAGAGAAAGGTGGAAGCCATCATAAAGAAATTTAAAAATCAGCTCATAATATAAATAAAAAATTTTCTAGAGTGATAGATATCATCAGGAAAAACCAATCAGAATTTCTGGAAATGAAAGACACACTGAGGGAATTATAAAATACAGTGGAAAGTTTTAACAATAGACTAGAACATGTAAGAGAAAGAATTTTAGAGCTCGAAGACAAAGCTTTTGAATTAACTTACTCAGACAAAAATAAAGCAAAGAGAACAAAAAGAAATGACTAAAGTCTCCAAGAAATATGGGAATATGTAAAATGGCCAAACCTAAGAATAATTTGGTGATCTTGAGGGAGAAGAGAAAATAATAAGTCTGGAAAAATTATTTGAGGGAATAATGGAAGAAAACTTCCCTGGCCTAGCTAGAGATCTAGGTACTCAAATCCAAGAAGCTCAAAGAACTCCCAGGAAATTCATTGCAAAAAAGTTGTTCATCAGGGCATATAATCATCATGCTATCTAAAATCAGCATGAAGAAAAGAATTCTAGGAGCAGTAAGACAAAAGCATCAGGTAACCTACAAATAAAAACCTATGACTAAAAGTAGATTTCTCGGCAGAAATTTTACAAGCTAGCAGGGATTAGAGGCCTATCTTCAAACTCCTTAAACAGAACAACTGTCAGCTAAGAATTTTGTATCCTGCAAGATCAAGTTTTATAAGCCAAGGTGAAATAAAGTCATTTCAGACAAATGCTGAGGGGATTTTTCACTACCAAATCAGCATTACAAGAAATGCTAAAAGGAGTTCTAGACATTGAAATGAACTCCCAATATGCACCATGATAGAACCTCTTGAAAGCTTAAAATTCATACAGCCTATAAAACAATAACACAAAAAGAAATTATCTGGGTAACAATTAATGTGGTGAAGAGAATAATATCTCACATCTCAACATCAACATTGAATGTAAATGGCATAAATCTTCCAGTAAAAAGATACAGTATGGCAGAATGGATTTTAAAAAATCACATTTCAAGTACCTGCTGTCTTCAAGAGACTCACCTAACATAGACGGATTCGTATAAACTCAAGGTAAAAGGGTAGAGAATGGTAGTCCACCCAAATGGAAACCAAAAGCAAGCAGAAGTAGCTATTCTTATTTCAGATAAAACAGACTTCAAAGCAACAACAGTAAAAAAAAAAAGACAAAGGTGGTCACTATATGATAAAATGATCAACTCAACAAGAAGATATTAAAATCTTAAATTTATGTGCACAAAACACTGCAGCTCCTAGATTCATAAAACTATTACTACTAGACATAGGAAATGAGATAGACAGCAAAACAATAATATTGAGAGACTTCAATACTCCACTGAAAGCCCTAGATAGATAGTCAAGACAGAAAGTCAACAGAAAAACAATAGACTTAAATGGCATGCTAGAACAAATAGACTTAATGGCTATTTACAGAGCATTTACCTGATATCTGCAGAATGGCATCTTCTAATCAGCACATGAAACATTATCCAAGATAGACCATATGATAGGCCACAAGTGTCCATAAATTTAAAAAAATCAAAATCCTATCATATTCTCAGCCTCCAGTGGAATAAAACTAGGAACCAACTTCAAAAGGAGCCCTCAAACTATACAAATATATAGGAATTAATAATTTACTCCTGGATGATAGCTAGGTTAACACTGAAATCATATGAAATTTAAAAATATCTGAATTGAATGACAATAATGACACAAGTTATTAAATCTCTGGGATACAGCAAAAGCAGTGTTAAGAGGGAGTTTATAGCACTAAATGCCTACATCAAAAGGTATGAATCAGCACAGATAAACAACCCACATCACAACTCAAGGAACTGAATAAAAAATAACAAATTAATTCTAAAGCTAAAAGAAGAAAAGTAATAAAGATCAGAGCAGAACTAAATGAAATTTAAACAAACAAGCAAAAAATAATACAAAAGATCAGTGAAATAAAAAGTGTATTCTTTGAAAAAATAAACAAAATTGATAAACTATTAACTAGATTAACCAAGAAAAGAAGAAAGAAGATCTAAATAAGCTCAATTAGAAACTAAATTGAAGACTTTACAACTGATACCACATCATTCAAGACTACTGTGAACATATTTATGGGTAAAAACTAGAAAACCTTGAGGAAATGGATGAATTCCTGGAAACATACAATCCACTTCCTCAATCTACAGATTCAATGCAATTTCCATCAAAATACCAACATCATTTTTCATAAAATTACAAAAAGCAATCCTAAAATTTATATGGAATTAAAATAGCCCAAATAGCTACAGCAATCCTAAGCAAAAAGAATAAATCTGGTGGCATCACATGATCAGACCTCAAATTATACTACAAGGCTATACTTACCAAATCAGCATGGTATTAGTATAAAAGAAGGCACATAGCCCAAGGCAACAGAATAGAAAATCCAGAAATAAAGACAAATATGTACAGCCAACTGTTCTTAGACAAAACAAACAAAAACATAAATTAAGAAATGGACACCCTGATAATTAATTAATTAGGAAAACTGGAAAGTCATACGTGGAAGGATGAAACTGTATCCCTATCTCTTACCATATACAAAATCCAACTCAAGGTGGATCAAATACTTAAATATAACACCTGAAACTGTACAAATTCTAGAAGGCAATGTTGGAAAATCTCTTCTGACATCAACCTAGGCAATAATAATATTGTTAGGTTAGATACATTCTCTCAAATAGATCTACAGATTCAATACAATTTCTAATGGGATCCAAGTTGACTGCTTTATAGAAATTGAGAAGTCAAAACTAAAATTAATATGGAAACAGAAGGGACCCAGAATAGTATAAATAAACTTTTTGGAAGAAAGAACAATTTAGGGGGCCTCACAACTCCCAGTTTTAATACTTATTAGAAAAAAAAAATCAGTGATCAAAACATGACCATGCTAGCATAAGTAGGAATAGAAATATAGGTCAATGGAATAAAATGCAGTGTTTAGAAATAAAGGCATGTCTACAGTCAGCTTAATTTCAACAAGAGTGCCAAGACTATTTAATGAGGAAAGAACTGTCTTCAACAAATGGTGCTAAGACAACCATATAGCCACATGCAAAGATTGAAGTTGTAATTTTACTTAACACTGTTTACAAAAATTAACTCAAAATGAATTGAAAACCTAAATATAAGAGCCGAAACTATAAATCTGTGTCAGAAGAAAATACAGAGGCAAATATTCATGATGTCACATTTGACAGTGGTTTCTGACATATGACACAAGACAAACAAGCAACAACAGCAAGAAATAGAATAAATGCACTTTATCAAAATTAAAAACATTTGTGCATCAAAAACACTATCAAGAAAGTGAAAGTGCAACTCACAGAAATAGAACATATTTATTAATCATATATCTGCTAAGGGGCTAGTTTTAAGAATCTATAAAGAACATCCACAACTCAATTATAATAAGATAATGGAGAAAATGGGAAGACGTTAGTCAAAGGGTAGAAAAATATAGTTATGTAGGATGAATAAGTTCCAGAGATATAATATATACATGGTGACTATAGTTAATAAGATTGTATTGTATACTTGAAAGTTGTTAAGAGAGTAGATCTGAAATGTTCTTATACACCACACCAAAAAAAAAAAAAAAAAAGAAAAAAGAAAAAAGAAAACTAAGGAACTAAGTCGGTGGATACATTAATTAGTTTGATGTTATAATCATTTCACATTGCATATGTATACAAAACACATTGTACATCATATGTCTACAATTTTTATTGTCAATTATATCTAAATAAGGCTGAAAAAGATGGGCAAAGATCTGAAGAAAAACTTATCCAAATATACATAAAGGACAATAAGGTCATAAGAAAACTCTCATTACTAATTACCAAAATGTAAGCCAAAGCACAAGATATCCTTCACATCCACTGGGATAACTATAGCAATAATAATTTTTTAAAAGAAATATAACAAGTATTAATAAAGATGTGGAAAATCTGGAACCATTGTACATTGCTGCTGGGAACCTAAACTGGAAAACAGTGGAAAACAGTGTGGGAATTACTATTCTCCTAGTTATATACTCAAGAAATAAAAAACAAACAAGCAAGAAAAATGTACAAAATATTTATAACAGTACTATTCACAACAGCCAAAAGACGGAAACAACCCAAATACCCATCCATAGATGACGGAGAAACAAAACATGGTGTTTCTATTCACTGGAATATTATTCGGTCATACAAAAGAATAAAGTACTGCTACATGCTACATCATGGATGAACATTGAGAATATTATACAAAGTGAAAAAGGCCAGTCAAAAAAGACCACATGTATGATTCCATTTATATAAAATATTCAGAGTAAATAAATAGAGACAGAAAATAGGTTAGTGTTTGCTTCTGATATGGGGTGGTGATGAGGTGGAGGTAGACAGATTTCTACGTGTGTTGAGGGAAATCTAAAATCAACTGTAGTAATTAATGGTTGAAGATTTTTTGTACTATGGTAAAAATTCATTGAATTATATGAGAGGTCTTTAAGAGTTTCATAGAAAATGTGTATTATGAAAAAAATGCATGGATTTCAAAAATATTTAGCACCAAAATAAACTCATACTAACTTGTTATAATGTGTATGCACAGGATCTAGTGTGAGGCAGTAAGTAAAACAAGAGATAGGCTTGAAAAGAACCCCTATCAGAACAACATGAATTCTTCTAAAACTGAAGCAAGAACAAACATAAAGTTTATGGCACACCTTGAGTAGAAGAAAGGTGAAATACTTGATGCTTTACAAAAAGTTTATGGGGATGATGTTCCAAATAGAGTATCAGTTTGCACATGAATAACTTGTTTTAAAAAGGGGTGATGATGTTGAAGATGGAGCTGCAGTGGTTGTCCATCCACATTGATATGCAAGGAAAAAAATAATCTTGATAATGCCCTGACTGAGGAGGAATGACTATTAACACCACAAACAGGCAACATCGCAGACATATCAATTAGTTTAGCCTACATGATTCTTCTGACTGAAAAATTAAACTTGAGCAAACTTTCCACTCGATGGATGCCAAACTGTTGCACCCAGATCAGCTATGGACAAGAGCAGAGCTTTCAATGGAAATTTTAAACAAGTAGGATCAAGATCCTGAAATGTTTATTTAAAGAATTATAACAGGAGATGTAGCATGGCATTACCAGTACAATCCTGAAGACAATGCACAATCAAGACAATGGTAGCCAAGTGGTGGAAGTGGTTGAGTCAACGCAAAACCAGACCAATCAACAGGAAAGGTCGTGGTAACAATTTTTTGGGATGCTCAAGGCATTTTGCTTGTTGACATTCTGGAGGGCCAAAAGGAAGATAACATCTGCTTATTATGAGAGTGTTTTGAGAAAGCTAGCCAAAGCTTTAGCAAGAAAACACCTAGGAAATTTCACCAGTGAGTCATTTTCCACCAGGACAATGCTCCTGTTCATTCCTCTTATCAAACAAGGGCAATTTTGCAAGAATTTCAATGGGAAATTATTAGACATCCACCTTATGGTTATGTCTTGGCTCCTTCTGACTTATTTTTTTCTCTTAATCTTAAAACCCTTGTAAAAGGTACTCATTTTCTTTAGGTAATAATATAAAAATGATTTCATTGACATGGCAAAATTCCCAAGACCCTCACTTCTTCTTCTTCTTTTTTTTTTTTTTTTGACAGAGTTTTTGCTCTTGTTTCCCAGGCTAGAGTTCAATGGTGTGATCTTGGCTCACCACAGTCTCCGCTTCCTGGGTTCAAGCGATCCTCCTCCTGCCTCTGCCTCCCGAGTAGCTGGGATTACAGGTGTGTGCCACCATGCCCAGCTAATTTTGTATTTTTAGTAGAGACAGGGTTTCTCCATGTTGGTCAGGCTGGTCGCGAACTCCTAACCTCAGGTGATCCGCCCACCTTGGCCTCGCAAAGTGCTGGGGTTACAGGCATGGGCCACCACGCCCGGCCAGACCCTCACTTCTTTAGGGATGGACCAAATGGCTGGTATTATCACTTACAAAAATGTCTTGAAGTTGATGAAGTTTACATTGAGAAATAAAGTTTCTATTTTCTATTTTTATCTTTTAATTTCATTTTTCAAAAACTTTTTAAAGTCCCTCATACACTTCATGAGTACAGGCAGACCGGGTGCAGTGGCTCACGCCTGTAATCCTAGCACTTTGGGAGGCCAAGGCGGGCAGATAACCTCAGGTCAGGAGTTTGAGACCAGCCTGGCCAACATGGTGAAACCCCGACTCTGCTAAAATACATAAATTAGCCGGGCGTGGTGGCGGGCGCCTGTAGTCCCAGGTACTTGGGAGGCTGAGGCAGGAGAATTGCTTGAACCCGGGAGGTGGAGGTTGCAGTGAGCCAAGGTCTTGCCACTGCAGCACTCCAGCCTGGGCGACAGAGCGAGACTCTGTCTCAGAAAAAAAAAAAAAGCACAGGCAACAAAAACACAAGTTGACAAATGAGATCACATCAAACTAAAGAGTTTCTGAATAAGAAAGAAAACAACACAATGAAAAGGCAAGCTACAGACTGGGAGAAAACATTTGCAAACCATTTATCTGACAAAGGGTTAATATTCAAAATGTACAAATAACTCCTAAACCTCAATAGCAAAATAATAAGAATAATAAATATGTGAAAGGAACTTCTTAGACATTTCTCCAAAGAAGACATACATACAAATGGCCAATAGATACATAAAAGTGGGCTCACCATTATTAATCATCCAAAGGGAAATCAAAACAGTTGTGAAATATCACCTCACAACCGTTAGGATGGCAATTATTTTTTTTAAAAGATAGCAAGTGTTGGCTAGGATGTGAAGAAAAGGGAAATCCTGTACATTTGATATGGTTTGTACCTGCGTCCCCACCCAAATCTCATGTTCAGTTATAATTCTCAATATCGGAAGTGGGGCCTGGTAGGAGGTGATTGGATCATGGGGGTAGATCCTTCATGAATGCTTTAGCACCATCCTCTCAGTGCTGTTCTCCTGATGGTAAATAAGTTCTAACAAAATTTAGTTGTTAAGAAGTGTGTGGCACCTTCCTCCTCTCCTTCTTGCTCCTCCTCTGGCCAGGTAAGATGTTACTGCTGCCTCTTTGTCTTCTGCCATGATTGTGAGTTTCCTGAGGCCTCCCTAGAAGCAGATGCCAGTATACTTCCTGTACGGCCTATAGAACTATAAGCCAATGAATCCTCATTTCTTTCTAAATTAGCCAGTCTCAGGAATTTCTTTTTTTTGTTTTTTTTTTTGTTTGTTTGTTTGTTTGTTTGTTTTTGAGACGGAGTCTCGCTCTGTTGCCCAGGCTGGAGTGCAGTAGCGTGATTTCCGCTCACTGCAAGCTCCACCTCCTGGGTTCACACCATTCTCCTGCCTCAGTCTCCCAAGTAGCTGAAGCTACAGGCACCCACCACCAGGCCCAGCTAATTTTTTGTATTGTTAGTAGAGTTGGGGTTTCACCGTGTTAGCCAGGATGGTCTCGATCTCCTGATCTCGCAATCAGCCTGCCTCGGCCTCCCACGTGCTGGGATTACAAGCGTGAGCCATCGTGCCTGGCCCAGGAATTTCTTTATAGCAATGTGAGAACGGACTAATATAACACTCTGTGAGAATGCAAATTGTTACAGCCACTATAGCAAACGGAATGGACATTGCACGAAAGATTTAAAATAGAACTACTATGCGATCCAGTAATTCCACACCTGGATATATACCCAAAATAATTGAAATCAGGTTGTCAAAGAGATATCCTCTTGCTCATGATCATTACAGCATTATCACATGGAAGCAACCTGTATGTCCACTGTCAAATGAATAGATAATGAAAATGTGGCATATACATACAATGAAACACTATTCAGCCTTAAATGAGGAAAATTCTGCCATTTGTGACAATATTGATTTATCTTGAGGACATAATGCTAAGTAAAATAAGCTAGATACAGAACAAATACATCATACCACTTATATAGCATGTATATATAATATACCAAAAATGTTCAGACTTACAAAAGCAGAGAATAGAAAGATGATTGCCAGGAGCTTGCAGATCCCAAAGTGTCCAGGTGGCAATCTTCTAGTTTAATGGAATTTTTGTTGGGTCTCCTGGTGGCAGCATTCCTCCCTCTGGAACTAAGACCTTTAGGCCAGCAGAACGTAACGTTTCGGGAAGAGGAAGCAAAAATTTTGCTAGTGGATCACTAATGGTGATGGTGAGGGATGCCACTTTCACATCCACCCCTTGATTCCTGGACCAGTGAATCCTAGTTATGGGAGAAACAATAAAATATATTGGATGCTGATTCAGAGAATACATGGCCTTTGGAGAACTTTGTTGCAGCTCTGCAAAGTGTTGTCACTTAGTTGGTATTGTTATTGTGACTTCAAAAGGCCATTCCACTCTTCTATCAATCCAGCTGCTTCATGGTGATGGGGAACATAGTAAGACCAGTGAATTCCATGAGCATGAGCCCCACTGCTGCACATCTTTAGTCATAAAGTGAGTGCCTTGGTCAGAGCAATACGGTGCAGAATACCATGACTGTGGATAAAGCATTCCATGAGTCCATGGATGTTAGTCTTGGCAGGAGCATTGTGTGCAGGGTAGGCAAACCCATATCCGAAGTAAGCGTCTATTCCAGTGAAGACAAACCTCTGCCCTTTCTATGATGGAAGAGGTCCAATATAATCAACCTAGAGGGACAGAACTAATAGGATATATAAATATATACACATATATGTATATATATATATATATGTATATTATATATATAGGGGAGTCTATTAAGTATTAACTCACATGATCACAAGGTTCCACATTAGGCCATCTGCAAACTGAGGAAATGCCGCCACATAGCTGGCTGATCACCATAAGGAATGGTGCCATATCCAGGGCTCTGTGTTGGTCTCTGCTGCTGGCAAGTTGGGCACTCAGCAGTGGCCGTAGCCAGGTCAGCCATGGTAAGTGGAATTCCATGTTGTTGAGCCCATGTGTAACCTCCATTTCTGCCACCATGGCCACTTTTCTCATGGGCACATTGGGCAATGACAAGGGTGGGTAGAAAAAGAGGCTGTGTGGTATCCACAGAACCAGTCATCCTAGCTGATTGATTATTAAAATCCTCCTCTGCTGAGGTCACTCATTGGTGAACACTCACATGGGATACAAATATCTTCACAGTTTGTGACCATTCAGATACCTCTTTCCCAAATTTATTTGTCACCAGTTTATCAATTATGCTTCTTCCAAGTCCCTGACCATCCGACCAAACCATTGCCTATAGCCTATGAATCAGTATATAATCGCACATCTGGTCATTTCTCCTTCCATGCAAAGTGCACAACCAGGTGCGCTGCTTGAACTTCTGCCCACTGGGAAGATTTTACTTCACCACTGTCCTTCAGAGATGTCCTAGAAAGGGGCTGTACTGCTGCAGCTGTCCACTTTCCGGTGGTGCCTGCATATCATGCAGAACTGTCTATGAACCAGGCCCTAGTCTTCTCTTCTGTCAACTGATCATAGGGAACTCCCCATTAGGCCATCGGGGCAGGCTGGAGAAGACAAGGCAGGGTGGCAGGAGTGGAGATCATGGGCATCAAGCCACTTCTTCATGTAACTTACTTGTGCCTTCAGGACCTGCTCAAGCCCAGTCATGTATATACCACTTCCATTTGATGATGGAATGCTCCAGAGCACTCCCAACTTTATGGCTGGATTGGTCAGAAAGCACCCAGTTCATGACAGGCAGTTCAGGTCTCATGGTGACTTGATGACCCATAGTCAGACATTCAGTTTCCACCGAAGCCCAATAACAAGCCAAGAGCTGCCTCTCAAAAAGACAGTAGTTGTCTGCAGGAGATGGCAGGGTCTTGCTTCAAAATCCTAGAGGCCTTCACTGTGATTCACATATGAGGGCCTGCCAGAGGCTCCAAACAGCATCCCTATCTACTACTGAAACTTCAAGCACCATTGGATCTATTGGGTCCTATGGCCCAAGTGGCAGAGAAGCTTGCACAGCGGCCTGGACCTGTTGCAGGGCTTCTCTTTTTCTGGACCCCTCAAAACTGACAGCCTTTCGGTTCACTCATTAAGCGGGCCATATTATCACACCCAAATGAGGAATGTGTTGCCTCAAAAATCCAAATAGGCCCACCAGGGGTTGTGCCTCTTTCTTGGTTGTAGGAGAGGCCAAATGCAGCAACTGATCCCTCACCTTAGAAGGAATGTCTCGACAGGCCCCACACCACTGGACCACTAGAAATTTTACTGAGGTAGAAGATTCCTGAATTTTAGTCAGATTTATTTCCCATCCGCTGCTATGCAAATATCTCACTAATAAGTCCAGCATGCTTGCCACTTCTTGCTTACTGGATCCAATCAACATAATGTCACCAATGTAATGGACCAGTGTGATATCTTACAGAAGCAAAAAGCGATCAGGGTCTTTCCAAATAAACTATGATGCAAAGCTGGAGAGTTGATATACCCCTGAGGGAGGACTGTAATGGCATATTGCTGGCCTTGCCAGCTGATGGCAAAGAGCTTCTGGTGGGCCTTATGGACAGGAAAGAAGAAAAAGGCATTTGCCAAGGTAATGACTACAAACCAGGTACCAGAAGATGTGTTCATTTGCTCAAGCAATGAAATTACATCTGGTATAGCAACTGCAATTGGAGTCAACACTTGGTTAAGCTTACAATAATCCATGTCATTCTCCAAGATCCACCTGTCTTCTTCACAGGCCAAATGGGAGAGTTGAATGGGGATGTGGTGGGAATCACCACCCCTGGGTCTTTCAGTTCCTTGATGGTGGCACTAATCTCTGCAATGCATCCAGGGATGTGATATTGTTTTTATTTACCATTTTTCTAGGTAGAGGCAGTTCTGATGGCTTCCAATTGGCCTTTCCCACCATAGTAGCCCTCACTGTACCAGTCAGAGAGCCAATGTGAGGGTTCTATCAGCTGCTAATTAGGCCTATGCCAATTATGCATTCTGGCACTGGGGAAATGACCACAGGATAAGTCTGGGGACACACTGGACCCAGTGTAAGTCAGACCTGAGCTAAAACTTCATTAATTACCTGACCTCCATAAGCTCCTACTTCAACTGGAGGTCCACAATGACATTTTCAGTACCCTGGAATCAACATCAGCTCAGAGTCAGTGTCCAATAGTCCCCAAAATGTATAATCATTTTCCTTTCCCTAATGCACAGTTATCCTGGTAAATGGCCAGAGGTCTCCTTGGGGAAAGACGAGGGAAAGATTAACAGCATAAACTGTCAGTAGTGTAGTGGGGTCCTTCTTCAAGGGGACCTGGCCTCCCCTTCATTCAGGGGGTCCTGGGTCTGTAAACTTGCTCAAATCTGGACATTGATTCAGTGGCCGTGATTCTCTTTTTGGTAATTCAAATTAGTCTTTTGTCCATTTGACCTTGAAGTTATCTGCTTATATAAATTATGTAGGAATACAGTAGCCTTTGTATCAATTTTACTTCCAGGAACACTGTGATTAATTAGCCAGTGACTGAGCTCTTCATGAGTCAGACTATTCTGATTGCTTTTTGACTCACTGTCCATTATGGTAGATATGCCCACCTTGCCTTTGATGGTTGAGCCCCGCCACTTGGCTCCTGCCACCTCAGGATGCAATTATTCCCATTGTAGTTAAATTTTGTAGTTGAGTGACTGTAGTTTCCACTGTTAGATCTGATATACCAAGAAGAACAATTACAGGGCTCTTCAAAGATGCAGGTGCTGACATCACAAATCTATTTCACAAGGCATTGGTCAAAGGTATATTTTCTGGACCCTTCCAGCTGGAATGAGTAGGTCTAAAGTGACCAATCCATTCCCTCATCCCAATCTCCCTAAGCCTTTGGATCCCTTCCTCTACATTAAACCAAGGAAAACCAGGCATTTCCAGCTCGCTCTCTGTGGGCCATCTTTTAATCCATATTTCAGCTAAACAAGCCAATAAATTATTATAACCTTTTTTAAATCCCCTAGGTGTAACATTAAATGGAGAATTCCTACTAAGTGGGCCCAAATTAATAAATTCTGGCTGATCCAACTCTGTGTTTCTTCCACCATTATCTCACACCCTTAATATCAATTCCCTTGCCTGTTCTCCAGATTTCTGTTTATATAAATTAGAAAACTCAAGCATTTCTTTTCCAGTGTAGCACACCTCTTCATGGGTCACACTCTCAACCTCACCTCTAGGGGCTCACCAGGACTTTAGTCTAGTTATAGGACTAAAAGCAAGCAGGGGTCACGGAGATGGCTCCTGAGGAGAATCAACATTATGTTGCCTGACTAACTGCCCCAGGGGTGACCATCATTGTTGCCTTAGGCAGTGCAGGATTTATCTCCTCAGACAAAGTTGGAAAGGCTGATGGCAGCATGCATCCTGGAGGGGATGTTGCCACTAATGGGGATAGAGAAGCTGTTTCTTCTGGCAAAAAATGTTCATTAGAGTTTCAAACTCAGTGTCCCCAGCTTCATCAGGATCCTCTCACACATCCTCATTCCAAGTTGCAGGTTCTCATTCTTTTCCAATCAATGCCCTCACTGTAACAGTAGACACCTGGTGAGTCTGTGCATGTGCTATTCACTGTAGGGTAGGCACTTGCATGATAAGAGCTTGTGTTTGTTTTTCCACAATTTCAACTCTTTCTCTACAGGAAATAAGACTCTCACTTGGGGAAATCTTAGCAGATTTAGGACTCAGTATCTGCTTCTGAAGGCAGAAGTTAGAATCCCTGAGTTCATCATTTTCTTTTATCACTGTGTCCACTAAACTTAGGAGCAACCAATGAGCTTCATTATGTTCCTTGTTTCTCCGCATGTGGTCAAAGGTATTATGTATAGAGTCAATAAACTCCTTGCCTGTCATGAGCCGTGAATCGTGGGTGTCAAATGAATTTAGTTTGCATAATTCTGTAAGTGGTTTACACCAAGGACTGTCAGTGTTCTCCATACTATTAGAAGTAGAGTTCTTAGCATTTTTGGGTCTAATCATATTAAGCAGCCCACTCCAGAAACCCTAACGAAAGAACTCCATCCTTAATATTCTGCTTCTCTAGAAACACTCCTGGTACCAAAATCTGTATTAGTCAGGGTTCTCTAGAGGGACAGAACTAATAGGAGATATATATATATATATATCTATCTTGTGGAATCACAAGATCCCTTAATAGGCCATCTGCAAAATGAGGAGTAAGGAGAGCCAGTCTAAGTTCCAAAAGTGAAGAACTTGGAGTCCAATGTTGGAGGGCAGGAAGCATCCAGCACAGGAGAAGATGTAGGCTGGAAGACTACGCCAGTCTAGTCTTTTCACGTTTTTCTGCCTGCTTTATATTCTAGCCATGCTGGCAGCTGATGAGGTGGTGCCCACCCACATTAAGGATGGGTCTGCCTTTCCCAGCCTAGTGAGTCAAATGTTAATCTCCTTTGGCAACTCCCTCAAAGACACACCCAGGATCAATAGTTTTCATCCTTCAATCCAGTCAAATTGGCACTCAATTAACCATCACACATACCAGTCAGTTACTGTACTTGGTAATGCTCAAGATAAATACTAGAGCTTTTTGCACCTAATTTACATTTTATAATCCCAGAAGCTCTTAGAGCAAAGTGTGAGCTGGGGTTTCTGTGATGAAGAATTATTATTTTTTCAAAATTAATTTCATGAAACTCATATATATAATATATATAATCTAATATTGGAAAAAATAATCCCAAAGTATTTGCCCAATCCAGGTATGAGGGCTGGCTTTGCATCACACTAATAAATTAAAAGTAAGAACAGGCAAATGATTCTGAATCAAATGATTTAGATCACATTCTTATTCACCCTCTGCTCCCTGCTCAAATTTCTTCATCCAAACTCTTCTATTCTTGTACTAACAGAAAGTGATGGGCTGGACTAAGAGTAGCGGTTTCTGCTTGGTTTAGATAAGCACTTCAAAGGTCGTGTGCTTATCACATCTATCTGCCACTCTTGACACAGCAAAATTGCTTTGGATATCTCGCCAGACCAGCTTTACTTATGATATATATTTTTTTCTTATTCTAAGGTCTTCAAGATAAAAAGTGCAATGAATAGGCATTGATCTCTATTCTTCTGATCCAAACTAAGTCAGAAATTCTGCAAATTGAAGGTGATATGTACATTACAGGCCAATGGAGAATTTAAAATTCATGAAAGTTGCCACACTAGTCTTTTTTTTCTTTTTTTTATTATTATTATACTTTAAGTTCTAGGATACATGTGCACAACGTGCAGGTTTGTTACATATGTATACATGTGTCATGTTGGTGTGCTGCACCCATTAACTCGTCATTTACATTAGGTATATCTCCTAATGCTATTCCTTTCCCCTTCCCCCACCCCCAACAGTCCCCAGTGTGTGATGTTCCCCTTCCTGTGTCCATGTGTTCTCATTGATTTTCAAAGTAGGTTGCCACCTGGTCGTCAAAAATATCCTTTAGTGTGCATTTCTAGAAATAATTTTATTATATAAGGAAGGAAAAAATATAAGAGAAGAAAATAACTGGGGAAAGGGAAATAGTGCAAGAGGGTGTTTAAATGTTACTAATGACCAGGGAGGGGAAAAACACCTGGAAAAGTTTTCCATAAATATTAATATCTTATAACATGTTATGCTATTTCTCTATCACACACACACACACACACACACACAAGCACACATACACACACATTCGATATGCTTACCATTTATGCATAACTGGAGATGTGTTTTGCAAAACTGTGACTTAAGTCAGTAATAATTGAAAAAACAAAATACAAATGCAATACATCTGCAACAGTCCCCGTTCACCTTAAATATTAAATAAAAACAGAAATAACCTTTTCATTCATTTATTGATTCAACACCCTTTTAGCTTATGATTGTTATATGGAAAAACAAAGTGTAACATGCTGTGAGGAATAAAATACAAATATGACTAAGTACTTGATTTTATGTTTCTTAAAACACATAGAGGGGAATTATAAATAACTTTCTGCTCAGGTTATTTTTAAAATATAATTTTTGTCATTTAAGTTTTGTTTGAAATTGTAAACAGATGGCAGTTCTGAAATGTTGTTTACATGAGATATTCTTTGACTACACCGTAAGTAATTTTTGAGTATCCAAAAAGGAAACTTAGTATTCAGTTCAATAGTAAGCATCAAGCACTGTTTTGCAAATGTGATAATATCAGAAGCCTCGCATGTAGAGGAGAGATTTACATAATAAAGTCAAGCACTGGTTAGACTGAGAAGAAGCATATCTGGAAAAGCAAATCTGATGCTGAATTTCAGCCGTGAAGCATATAGATAATATAATCAGAAATGATGCTGAAATTTTTATTTTAAATAACATTGGAGGATCCCACAAATATCAGGCTTGACTACTTGGCCTTTTTTCTGCATATAACAAGGAGTTGTTGAAACTTTTTGGAGAAATAAATGATATAATCTAGGTCTTTTAGTTATAAATATTTTCCATTTCCCGGAGGCATTGAAAGGAATCTCTAAAAAGAAATTAATTTAACTGACATCCTGTAAATTCACAACTGAATCACCTTAATGGTCTTCTTAGAGTTTTTTTATATCTTTCTTTCATTACTGGCACCTTCTTTGGCTTCAATAGTTATATGAATGTGGATATTTTATTTATTAGCCCCTCTGCTTTGCCGAATGAGAAGTTTAAATATTTTTTCAAAGAATTGCCACTCCCGCTCCCAACTACAAGAGTTTAGCGTTGATATATTTTACTTTTAGAATTTTAAACAAGCTGCCATCTGTTTAAAGGTTTAAACAAAACTTAAGTAACAAAATTATATTTTCAAATTGACTCGTTATTTGGATGCCTTTAATAGAGTTTTTCACTTTCTTCATTGCATGTTTCCGCTGAACATCTTTATGATCTATTCATTACAGGTACATCCCTTTAATTGAAGCTACCTGGTCACTGCATTTTAGTAAAGATTAGCTCTCTGTTTTTTCATTGTATATAACCGCTATGTGACAAATACTCCACTACCATTTCTTCGTTAGTAATTAGGACCACTTATATTTCTTTCTTTACCTACGAGGCACAGTGGAAGGAAAACAGATCTTTATTTTATATCAATAATATTATCGTTTTGAGAGGTAAATATTGAGGACCGTATCTTATATGTTTCTGTGATTACAAACTACATTTAAATGCACTCACAGCAAATGCCATATATCAATATTATACTTATCTCAATCTACATTAAAGCAAACTTTCTCGTGACTCGGGAGTTATTCTATAGATCAAACTGGGATTAGTCTTACGTTAAGTTCTTTTTATTTCCTAATTGTCCTCTGGTAGTCATTGTCTCAGAGATTTCTGCAGCATTATTCTTTGATATTTTGATAATTTTATTGCCAGATGCATTCACTAATAAAAATAAGTCAAAGGCCTCTCATAAGCATTCAAGTACCTGTTTGAAGTGACATTATTATTATTTTTGTTGTCATTGTTTTTCTGTTATTATTGCCTTTGCCTATTACCAGATGCATTATTTTACAAAGTCATAATGCTATCACATATGTAGGTAGAATTGGTATATGTATATATATATTTATTATTATTATTATATATTTTTATTATTATATATTTTTTATTATTATATATATATTTTAACTGAGTGCTATGGGGACTTCAAGCAGGAAGAAGTTAATTTGTTATTTGATTTAAGAAAGATGCAGTATTTACTGAAGCAGCTGAAATTAAGTTTCTCGTTTATAATTGAACCACATAATCAGCAATACTGCTGGATATTTCAATGGGCAGCAATAGAACTTTATGACCTAATAGCTACTAATACCAAGTGCATCTTGAAAATACATAATTTATTTCTTTTTTCTTCTTCAGCTTTTTCTCTTTTCCAGGATACTGATTAACACAGTAGAGGCTTGAATTGTGGCAATGTTGTCTGTTCTTGCCTCTTCTGCTTCTGTAAATCTGGATCATTCAACATTGTTTATCACCTGAAAAGTGACCCCATTATTTATAATAAAAATGACCTTTCCATGTCCAAGGTGACTTTCCTTGAACAACCAGAAGAAAAATGTGTTCTTTTTTTCTCACTATTTTTTAGTCCTACTCAGCCTTCAGAAAGCACACTCTAAAAGGATTTAGAGTCAAAGATAATCTGAGGATGACCCATTTAATGGGCAAATAGACCTTTAACCTGCTAGATAGATGTGTCTTCCTAATAGGAACCCCCACATTTTGTTTTCCTGCTCCAGCATTTTGATCAATATTGGTAGAACCCAGGTTATTTATTTATATTGGTATAATGCCTGAATAGGGGGCAACTCCACCTTGATGTTTTACAGTGGCCTGAAACACATTAGCACCAAAAATAAATTGATCAACCTCTTTCTTCCCTTTCTAGGGCTCCAGGGGAGTTGTTTTTCTCAGAATTTGTGAGCACGCCCAATAGGTTTTGTATTTATTTAACTATTTTTTCCTTTTCTCTCCATACTTCCCTTTTAAGGCATTTTTTTCTATTAATATACTTTCCAGTTAATGAATTTGTTTTCTGCTCTAGCCAATCTGTTGATTAAGTTATAGTAAATCAAAAATTTCATCTGTTGTATTGTTCTTTTGTTAAATAATTTCAACTTGTATTTGAGATTCATGGAGCACATGTGCAGGTTTCATACATGTGTATATTGGGTGATGCTGAGGTTTGGGGTACAAATTATCTTATCACCCAGGTAGTGTGCACTCTACCCAATAGTACACAATAGTCTTTCAACCCACATACCTCTCCCTCCCACCCCCTGTAGTAGTCCCCAGTGTCTGTTGTTCTCATCTTTATGTTTATGTGTATTCAGTGTTAGCTCCCACTTCTAAGTAAAAACATGCAGTATTTGGTTTTCTGTTCCTGTGTTAATTCGCTTAGAATAATGGCCTTCAGTTGCAACCATGTTACTGCAAATGACACAATTTTGTTCTTTGTATGGCTGTGTAGTATTACATGATATATATATTATATATGGTAATATATAATATATATACCATATATAATATATATACCATATATAATATATATATTACATAGTATATTATATATTTTATATATATTATATATACTATATATATACATATAGTATATATAATATATAGTATATGTATATTATATTTTTTATATATATATATATATATATATATATATATAGCATTGTCTTTATCCAGTTCACCATTGATGGGCACCTAGGTTAATTCCCTGTCTTTGCTATGGCAAATAATGTTGCAATGAATTCATTCTTCACAGTTCCAATCATCATTTTATGTTTTAAACACTCTTCTGTTTTCTTAAACATACCAATCATAGTTATTTTGGCATTCCTTTTTTTTCTGCTGCCTGTGCACATTGTTTTACCATGACTTGACCTGGGTAATGCTTCTCACATGTAATCTAGGGGAGAACGGAATGTAGTTTGGGGTGGGTGATGGTTGCTTAGAGTCAGAGAAAACATAGTATCTGTAGTGTAACTTTACATGTAACTTTCTCAATTAAAAAAAATCATATCTTTTTAAAACTCCAGTGCCTATATCATCCATGCATTTATTTCTTTTTTATTCTATTGATTATTAGTCTTATTTTCTTGCCTCTTGCCATGTCTAGAATAAAAAAGCAAAAACCTACAGGTGATGTTCTCACTTCCAAGACTACTTTTTTTTTAATTTCCTCTCTTAGATAGCGTGAGGATGGACATTTTAATTCAAAAATGAATTGATCTTAGTAAGAATTGGAGTAGAGTTGCAGTAAGACTTAGTATACTCTGGTTCAATCTCATTTTTCTTGTCTTATTATTTTTGTTCTTCTTGGGAACCTAGCTAATTGGGTTATTTACTTTTAAAGTCTATGATAAATTCATGCCCTCTATTTTTTTTCTTCTCTTCCACCAACCCACACTATGTAGTTCCAAACCTGAGAAATGCTGGAGACTTTGTGTTGGAGGCAGACCTCTTTTCTTGTTAGCCTTAGGTTGATAAGCACTGTGAGACTGAAGAATATATTACTGTGACTTTAAAAATTCTCAGCCTAGTCCTCCCGCCTCCTGTGTGCAAACCCATAACTCGGCAAAAAACGCCTGGGTCAAGTCAACTGATTATTTGAGGTTTCTAAGTCTCCAATTTATTATTCCAGCACTGAAGGACCACTAAAATGTCTGCTGATTTTTCTTTTCCCCAGTGGGACCTCTCTCTCTGACATAAACCCAATCCTTAGCCTATATGCAGAACTAAGCACTGGGAGAAAATTACTCATGTTTGTAGTGTGTAATACTGACACCCTGAAAAGGAACAGCAAATAAGGTAGGAGACCAGAAAGAACAGTGGTGTAGAAACAAAGCATTAGAGTCTCAGAACTGCGAACTCCCACTACACATATATGGAGGCAGAGATTAAATGTGCTGCTTAATTCTCCTTATTCCTCTGTTGTTCAATCCTGTGGACGCAAAGTATGAACAGTCTGTGATAACTCTAACTTTATGTTGGTGAAATCTATAATTAGAACTAGAAATTAGAGGTTTCAAAGTCAGGGATTGTAGGAAATTGAGAATCTGAGAGTGTTTGACACTGTAACATACTGATTTAGCCATTAACTTTCATCCAAATAAATAAGGAAAGGAAATAAGATTCATACATTATTATTCTGTATCTTGTTATCATCTAGTTAAATTTCTGCTCAGATCCATATAGCAAGGAAGGCAAAGCAGTTTCTATATTG